>NC_000010.11:87718852-87870368 GCF_000001405.40 Homo sapiens | reverse complement strand
CCCATTTGTGATGAACCAGCAAAATCACAGACATGTCATACCCAGACTTCCTAAAGGAATACCCTTATTTTTAAAAACACTTATAACTTGAAACAAAATCCTAACATGGCCCAAACTGAGGAAATTCAGTTACAATCATACACCATAAATGAAAATACAAATAATTTCCCTACATACATAACCTGAAATTACAGTTTTTCAGAGCAGTAGCTACCATTTAAGTATTTACAATGTGGCAGGTACTATGCTAAATGAAATTACTTATTATTATCTCACTTACTATTCAAGATAAACGTATGCGGTAGGTTCCATTATCATCCCCATTTTACAGATAAAATAGATTGAGAAAATCTAAATAACCTACTCAAAGTCATCCAGCTACTAAATGGAAGATCCAGGATTACAAAACAAGCAGTCTGGCTCCAGAGCCCACACTGCCTCCCTAAAATCTAAAATGAAACAATGTATATATGCTTAAAAGTATAGATAAACGTAATACTCAAAATTTTAACATAATTTAAAATAGATCTGACCATATTTAAAAACTATAGAACAATATTCTCTAAGGTAGTCTTTTCTTTAAAGAAACAAAAATTCGTTTTTTAATAAATATTAAGATAAAAGGTTTGCTAACTTTGTATACACATACACACACAGAGAAATCAAACACTGGTTAGATTCACTGTTCATATTTGAAGTGGTGAGTACTGATAATAATTATGTGTATAATTACTTAAAATATAATGTGTAAACAGTCTTCTTTTTCACACTATGTGGAGGTCAAGAAAATTCTTTTGATGGCAGGTACAGCTACAATATCCATCTCTCAATATTCTCAACACTGGCCAGGCGCAGTGGCTCACGCCTGTAATCCCAGCATTTTGGGAGGCCGAGGCAGGCGGATCACTTGAGGTCTGGAGTTTGAGACCAGCCTGGCCAAGGTGGTAAAACCCCATCTCTACTAAAAGTACAAAAACTATCTGGGCGTGGTGGCATGCACCTATAATCCCAGCTGCTTGGGAGGTTCAGGCAGGAGAATCGCCTGAACCTGGGAGGCAGAGGTTCCAGTGAGCCGAGATCCTGCCACTGCACCCCAGACTGGGCGATAGAGCGAGATTCCATCTCAAAAAAAAAAAAAAAAAAAAAAAAATTCTCAACACTGCCAAAAAGTAATGCCTTGAAGATGTCCTAATACCTTGAAGATGTTCACACATGTCCCAATGTCAACTGTTGCAAATGAAGAATCTGCCTTAACTATACAGAACTAAAACTTCCCAAATAAAATTAATTCACCCTTAAATTATGTTACTCTTCTTATATTTGCCGATACTTATTTATTCCAGTGCAAATTATTTTAAAAGAATTAAATTGCTAATACTTCCTCTGCAACCAATGAAAAAAATTCAAAAAACTAAGGGAAAGGTGAATAGTCAAGTACAATATACTAATTTCACCTTTCTTGGCAAATTATTTTACATTAGTGAATGCATATACTCAATATGTACAAAGAGAATCACCAAACACAGACCAATATACTTTTAACCACCTATGGAAGAACGTATATGTGGCAGTAATGCACCCTATAAAAGACTTACAGTTATCAGTTTGCTCAGCAAAGCCTTACCAATTTAAGGTTAGTCTAACCTCAACATTATTCTCTCTGATAAGCAACTAAATTAATTTCAAAGCTACCAAATAGAAAGCAATTGTAAAACAGAACTGACTGACCCCAGTCTCACAAATTTCCTAAGTCACTATCTTCAGAACAAATCCTAACATCTTTTCTTAATGAATTCAGGCCACAAGATGAATTCTTCAATGCTGACTGTGAAAATCAAGTTTAACAGAAAAAATGAAGAAAAAGGTAACAAGATTAAGAACTAATGGGTTCCATGTAATAAAACTTCTGAACTGTTTGTTTAACCCAACGGTTTCTACAGAAAAAAAAAAATACATTTCTTAAGCTATGTTAATATTACATTTTCTGGAAGCTAAATCCTTGTAGTATGGCAGAGGCCTCACATTTCAATTAAGCAGAAAATTGTCATATGCATGCAACACTTCTACAATTCTCTTTACAAACTCTGAAGTCACACACAATATCAATAATAAAAGTGATTTCCTAAGCTTTCGTCTTACTTAAAAGATTGAGATGAAAATTTAAAAATAGCACGTTTACTTCAAGTGAATTAATGTTAAAACTTTGTGAAGTGAATTTCCCATAACAAATACTCCTCCATTAAAAGTCACTGAAGTGATTACTTCAGAAGCGGCTTAAAATATTTTTTTAAGTGTTGCGCTATCACCAAATGAACAAACAGCAAATGGAGGCAAATTTCAAAATAACATTAGAAAATAAGAATTGAAGACTTCTTCACTTCCAAAAAGTAAGCCATTTCATAACACTAAGAAGTTTATGTATTTTATGTGGCTATGAGAAAGCAGATGCACTGTTCCATACAAAAATTAAAATATCACCAGTTGCCTTTCCCATGTTATTAAAAATAAAATTCTAAAAAGGTAATAAAGGAATCTTTCTTTACTATCTTCTAAAACTAAGTTTAAAATGAAGGTGGTTATACCTCACCATATTTTATTATCTTTAATCATTTAGTATTTACTTAGTATATTATAAGCAATGTAAATCTGCATTGATGACTATACTGCTGTGCAAACTTTTACACTGGCAGCAATAAAATTCCTTTTTCCTCATATAAACTGTACATTACTCCTTTCAGTTGTGCTTTACACTTGAATAAGCACTATGAAAAATGAAGTTTGTAAGTTATCATACAGCAATTAGGTGGTCCAGTCATGTTTTTCAGGAAATATAACTTAGCAGATACAAAACAATGTAAAATAAATGTTGTGAATAGAATACTTTTTAAAACCCTCATGATTAATTTCAGTAATCACTTACCTTGAGGTAATTTAGGTAACTTCAATAGTCACTGTACTCTCTACAAGTTAAAAGTATTCCCTGTGAACATTTATTTGAAAAGAGGCAAATCTACCAAACAATAAAAATACAACAGAAGCCTAACGTTTCCACATACCCTAAATACACTTAATTTTTCTATAGTCTCAAATTCAGCACTATATTTCAGACTAATATTAAGCATATAACCCTACTAACAAATTTTTAGAATAATTTAATTTTGCGATAATATTTTAAAACTGAATTATTGTCCTCAATTTTCCTCGGAGAAATGGCTTCATTATTAATCTTTCTTTATCAGATAAAAATACTCCAATCACTACTTTCATAAAGGAATTTAACTTTTCACAGGTTAGTTACTGAAATAAATACTACAACATGTCAAAGACAAAGTCTTCAATGACAATTTTAATGCCTTCCCACTCCAATAAACAGAAAACATTAACGTGAAAACAAGCAAACCAAGTACGTTGGAATATCAAAATTATTGGGAGTGCAATTATCAAAAAAGCAAGCACTTCACTGACTTTCCTTACTGACTTTTTTTCATATCAACTTTTGGCTCAATAAAACCACAACTCTAGAAATTAAGTGTTATTAGTCATTTGACGCAATATTTGATACTGCTTTCTATGCATATCATAACTAAAAGTACAGTTTTAGAGAAAGTTTTAAGTCACACAAATTTCATGTGTAGAGACCAACATACGCTGAAATCAAAGAAAATGCCAGTCATGTCACAGCTCACATGTAAAAACCTGGTAAAATAATTTTAAGGTCTTAATAACCCTGATAATTTAAAATCAAGTGGGAAAAGTAAAAGTAGTGTGTTATGTACTTTAAGTGCTGAAAGAAATCTGTCTCCCAGACAGCATTCAATTATTTTCTTCAAAGGCTTTTTTTTCAAAGTTACATAAACATTTAATTTTTTGTTCCTATATATTTGGATGACTGTCAGTAATTCATGCTAATAGTAGACTGCTTTGGAAGTCACAAAAGAATTTTTCCATAATTATCTTCTGGGCAAGCGGGTCCAGTTTAGCCTTAGTAACATTCTCAATTAATGTCAACTTCAAAATTTGCAAATACTCTTTTAAAATAATATTTTTGGCTTAACAGAAAACTAAATTTTGGGAAGCTACTTCTTCAGTAAGTTTTACATTCATTTCAAAACAAAAACTTGGGCAAAATTAACTGTGCACATTTATATGCAGCTAACATAATCCAACGGAATAAAACCTCTCCCGATATAAACGCTGTCTTAAAAAAAAATATTCCCCACAATTTTTAGCAGGACATATAGACACTGTAGTGTCACTCTACCTTTAGACAAAATGCAACTGACATTTGCTAAGAAATAACTTTTATTAAAAATACTGTGCTAGTACTTATGCAATTACATAATTTTAACTAAATATTGTCCACTGCCACAATTCGCATTACCAAACTCATATTACCAAATTTTAGGCCTTGATAGAGCCTAAATGCTTCAGTCACTTCAGACCAATAACTTAATTCTGTTTTCACATACCTTATACACTGGCCTACCAATAGCTCTCAATTCCTGTCAATACTTTCCCCATTCTGCAAAAAGAGGGCCCCATCCCCATCCCTAATCAAAACCAATGTGTTGTACCTGAAACTGCAAAGATTAATGCTTTTCGATGACCACTAACTTTTGAAGCCCGAAGGCCTAACTTTTAGACAACTAAAGCTACACACTGTTAAAATTCTTGGGCTTCTGTCTTATTCAGCAAGCTGACTCAGTAAATTTAATACACTGTATGAAAAAAGCTAACATACCTACAATCTAAAGCTGGAGTAAACCCCTCTTGCCAGCATTTCTAGATATTAGCTGGTAAAATACAACTGACATTCTACACAAATCAGTAAAATTAACGATACCAAAAGGTGTCAGAGGACCTGAAACCTAAAAACGGTGAGCAGCAATTCTGGCATCACAACAATACTTAAATTTCAAGCATGAACTGAAGTTTTATTTCTGCAATCTTCACTTGCTACACACAATACCCTTGAACCTACACATTACCATCTGGGATCAGAAACTACTCAATATCCATTCTATGTTTATGACAAGAGCACTGAACATTAAATGCTACTGAAGTGCAAATTTCAAGCACTATCCTACATCACCCCATAGGGAGAGAAAAAGGTAAATATAACAAAGATCTAGTAAGAACGCCTTATAAGGTATATTATGGCACTATTGACTTCAAACTACAAAACTTCTACATACAGTTCAAAGTTGTAGGTAACTTAAGTTTAAACATTAACAAAACTACTTTTTGCCCTCAATGTGCACCATATATACTGAAAATGATTCTGCTTCTAAAGTTATGCAAATCAGTCATATTTTAAAAGAATCTATCAATGCAACTCAGGAAACTAAAACAATCACTGCAAGATTCTGATGCAATATGCGTACGTGCAACACTAATTTTCATTTTATTCTGATCTAAACCCTTGATCTAGGGCCTAAGCCAAGATTTAATCGAAATATGCTCAACCTCAAAAAGCGTCTACTTTTTTGTTCATTTAGGAGACCGGATTACCGAGCTCGCTAATCCACTAACAGTGTACTGTATTCTGTATTAACGGACAATAGCCCTCAGGAAGAGACCATATAGATAGCCTAAGAAAGCAATCGGTGGCTTGACACTTGCAACCAGGCAAGAGTTCCGTCTAGCCAAACACACCCTAGGTTGAATACACAGAAAGGAAACACAAAATATATGACCTAGCAACCTGACCAGGGTTAAATGTTATAGTCACCCAAACTACGGACATTTTCGCATCCGTCTACTCCCACGTTCTAAGAGAGTGACAGAAAGGTAAAGAGGAGCAGCCGCAGAAATGGATACAGGTCAAGTCTAAGTCGAATCCATCCTCTTGATATCTCCTTTTGTTTCTGCTAACGATCTCTTTGATGATGGCTGTCATGTCTGGGAGCCTGTGGCTGAAGAAAAAGGAGGAGAGAGATGGCAGAAGCTGCTGGTGGCGGGGCTTCTTCTGCAGGATGGAAATGGCTCTGGACTTGGCGGTAGCTGATGCCCCTCGCTCTGCCGCCGCTTGGCTCTGGACCGCAGCCGGGTAATGGCTGCTGCGGCGGCTGCTGGATGGTTGCAGCGACTGGGCCTGCTTCTCCTCAGCAGCCAGAGGCCTGGCAGCGGCGGCAGCGGAATGGGGAGAAGACGAATAATCCTCCGAACGGCTGCCTCCGCCGGCGGCCTCCGGAGCCCGGGCCACGGGGGGTGCGGCGGCGGCGCACGGGAGGTTTAAAACCGGCCCGGGTCCCTGGATGTGCCAGCCGCCGCCGCCGCCGTGTTGGAGGCAGTAGAAGGGGAGAGACCAACTCTCCGGCGTTCCCAGCCCTGGAAATGGTGACAGGCGACTCAGACCCCCTCCCTGGAGCTGCAGCCGCCGCGGCCGCCGCCGCCGCCGCTTCTCCCCCCCGCTCCAGGAGCGGGAGGTGCCGCCGCCGCCGCCGCGCCTCAGCCGGCTCCCGCCCGAGCCCACGGCTTCCACCTTCCCTTTCAGGAGAAGCCGAGGAAGAGGCTGCACGGTTAGAAAAGACGAAGAGGAGGCGAGAAACGCCGCCGCTGCCGCCGCCGCAGGCCGGCCGGCTCCCCGAGGGCGCTGCCCCCGCGGCTGCTCACAGGCGCTGAGAGGGGCTCCGGGCCGCGGCCGCCGCCGTCTCTCATCTCCCTCGCCTGAGCCCGGCCTCGCCTCACAGCGGCTCAACTCTCAAACTTCCATCATGGCTGCAGCTTCCGAGAGGAGAGAACTGAGCGCAGTCGCGTCCCAGCGCCGAGCGCGTATCCTGCCGCAGCGCATAAAGAGTCCCGCCACATCACCGCCCGCCGGCCTGCCCGCCCCCTCCGCCGCCGCGCCGGGAGCCCGGGCGCCTCGGAAGACCGAGGGGAGGCGGGAGGCGAGCGAGAGGCGGACGGGACCGCGCCGGGCGAGGGGAGGGCAGGGCAGGGCAGGGGGCGGTAGGAGGGGGCAGAGCGGTAGCTCTGGGTGCGAGCGCAGAGTCCCCAAGCCGCAGGCTCTACTGAGCATGCCCAGTGTAGCTGCCTGGGGCTTGCTCGGGCCGGTTCCCAGCCGCCAGCCTGCAGCTGCACTTGCTGCGGCTTTTGCAGCAACGCGAGGCGAGGATAACGAGCTAAGCCTCGGCCTCTGCCCAGAAACCCAGCCGGAGGCAGGGTAGGCTGTTGTGGGGCGGGGGTGGAGGACTGATGATGAAAGCTGAGATGGGTGCGTTGAGCAGTGTCACTGACTCGAGTCTGAGGTTACCTGTGCACAGGTGAAAAGGACCAGGTGACCACGCTGCTCAGTGTAGAGGGAAATGCAGGGACGGTCCCTGCAAGGGGAATACCCTCCCCCCTTGCCTCTACCCCTAGATTTCCGCGGCGTGGACTGCATTCGCTCTTTCCTTTTGCACCGCTGTCGGATCACAATCGTTCGCAGAGATTTGACTGTAACAGCCTTTGCCTAGAGATTCCCCCTTCCCCCAAATCTGTGTCCTCATGGTGTCAGTCTTAGCACAAAGAGCAACCTGCTATTGTGTCGCCAGCGTGTATCACCTCATCCGGCTCCCTTGCAGCGCCCCACCTCTCGCTTCCCCGGTAACTCGGCTCGTTTGCCCTAAAAATGAAAGCTCTCAGCCGAGCGTGCTGAACGTGAACACATAGCCGTTGAATTTCAAGGGCCCAAAGGGCACCTATCTAAATGAACTGAAAGAGGATCCCTGTGAGTGGGACGCACCCCGCAGGCCTCTCCTGCGCCCGCTCCGGTGCCCCCAAGAGAGTCGAGCATCTTTCCCCTCGGGCTCCAGGTCGGTTCGCGGCGTCGGAGTCAAGCTCGGTTCTCAGAGACCACCTAGCCCCGCCCCCCCTTGGCCGCCGTGAAAACCCGGCAGGATGGATCGCCCGGGGCCAGGCTCCGCGCGCCCCGGCCGGACCGTGCACGTTTGGGGTTACCGGGTTGAGTGGAAAGTACGGAACGGTAGGAAGCTGCAGCCCAGCGAGTGGGCGGGGCGAGGAGACCTAGGAGGGTTCAAAAGGAGGTGGAAGGATACACGGGCCACAGTCGGAACTACTTTCCGAAGGAGGTCACGTGTGTCCCTAGTTGGGGAACTTTCCAAATTCCCACTCCCCAGTGATAGCTCCGGAGGCAAGTCGTCTTCTTCCTTTGCTCGGGGTGCTCTTGCCTGGTGCAGGCAGCGGAACCCCAACCCTTCCTGCGCCGCGGCGGAAACAGGGGCTCGGACCAGCCTCCCGAAGGAGCGCTGTCGGGGCTGGCGCTTGGGGAACTGGTTACACAAGCACCCACATCCAAACACGTGCCCCCGCCTCCCCGCCTGCTGGCTGCCGCCGATTCTTACAGAACGCGGGGAGAGAGTCCCCAAACTGGTGCCACTCCTCGCCTGCTACCCTAAGAGCAAGCCAAAGGACTGAGACCTGAGACTCACTCCTTGCTCTACATCGACCTATTCTGCGCCTTCCCAAACGTGGGAAAAGGAGCTGGGCGCTAGGGCTCTCGGGCCTCTCCATCGCTGATGCCCTGCCGCTTAGGGTGAACCCTTTTGGTTCTGTGCTTGAGGGTATCTCCTGCTGCAGCCCAGAGCGTGCATTCTCCGATGTTGCAACAAACGTCCAGTCACTACCCCTGAGCTGGTGAGCGCGCCCCACCTACTGTGGACTCAGCCAAGTGACTTATCTGGTCTGAGAACCTAGTCAATGGCCGTCAGCCCAGAACAAACCTGTCAAGTCTGTTTACAGCCCCGATTGGGCTGACCTGTCACCGTGAGAGAGCTGATTCGGAAATGCTGAGAGTTGGATCGCACTCCTACCCCGCACCCCACCCGTCAAGGATCTACAAAGCAAGTAGTCGACCCGCTTAAAGAGAATGAGCATCAACACCAGTCTGGGAATTTATTGTTTTTTCATTTCCCTTAGGAAGTAGAACTACAGACGACAATTTGAGTCAAAAAATATCTAACGAGACCTAGGTTGAAGCACTGAGTTGTTTTTCAAACTTTGAGAGAATGAGAATCAATCTGCATGTGTGTTCAATAATTGTAAGTGCCTAGCAAAGTCTAAAGAGGGTTTATGCTGTATTTGAGAAAGAGTACTGTATATGTGCACATCATAGTTGCAGGCAACCTCTGAAGACTAGAAACCTCAAGAGACCTAGCGCAGAAAGCCACAGGCCATTACCTAACTCCGGGACTACTAATTAAACCTGGGATATTTACAGTGTTCTTAGAGACCTCTGAGGCTCCATAAAACTTTGCACTTATATACAGCATTTAAGATAGCTGTGCAGGAGTTAACAACCTGCTGAAGCTTCAGTGTTGATATTTATTGAAGACTGGTTTTGTGCATAGTTCTGGTCAGCTTGGGAAAGGCAAGGACCACAGTGGAAAAGGAAATGGAAAGCAACCGGAAAAGAGTAAGAGAAAGGCCTCCAGTTGATTTCCAGAGATGCAGATACTGTCCACACAGCCTAGCGTGAACTACAGATTTCATTATTGTATAAATAACCAAAGATAAGGAGTTCCTGATGTCTAGGTGTTCTACTAGATTGCATGGTAAAAACCAGAGCTGTGTTTAATTATCAATTACTGCGTGGTAGAAAAAGGGAAAATGAAGATGAACTTTTAAAAGGGGAGTAGATTAGGGAGGGGTAAAATGTCTCACATTTGTTTCTTAGATTGCTGATCTTGTCTCCAGAGTCCCTGTTATTAGCACTGCCCTTCTCTGTCCCTCCCCTGGAGCCTACCCTAAGTGACAATTAGTCTCATAGCATCTGAGAATCTCTGAAATCTGCTTTCATGGAAGCAAATGAAACAAGGGTGCATTCCTGTCCTGGTGCGACAGAATCCTCTTGGATTCCATGGCACAGAGTTACTCTGGAGCAGAGATAATCTGCATCACCAGCACTAAAGTGCTAGAATATGAGACCAGCCTCCAAGTACTTCCATCCGGCTGAAGAAAGAAAATGGGAAATGGGTTTTACTGCTTCTCTAAACATCAGGTCCCTCTACTTCTCTCTAGTGGTGAATGAAAGGATCATCAATGTTGGCAGATATTTGGCCAGCCCAACAGCAACATCAGGTGGTTATTAGGAGTTGGTGAATAAAATCCTCCTTCTGTTCCTAGTGTTAAGTTGTTTCTGAAAGAAATACTGATGCATCCTTTTCCAATTTTTTGTTTTTCTTTTCCTTTCTACCCAAATGGCTGGCCCTATCTAAACTAAAGAAAGTTTCAAAAATAGTACTTTTTTAAAGTTCAGTTGAAAATACCTGCTTGGCTGTATAGATATTACAATACACTGGTCTCCAAGCACTTCAGTTCTTTTTTTTTTTTTCTTTTTTTTTTTTTTTTTTTGAGACGGAGTCTCACAGGCTGGAGTGCAGTGGCATGATCTCGGTTCACTGCAACCTCTGCCTCCCAGGTTCAAGCAATTCCCCTGCCTCAGCCTCCCGAGTAGCTGGGACTACAGGCGCACACCATCATGCCGGGCTAATTTTTTGTAGTTTAGTAAAGACAGGGTTTCACCATGTTGGTCAGGATGGTCTCGATCTCCTGACCTCGTGATCTGCCCGCCACGGCCTCCCAAAGTGCTGGGATTACAGGCGTGAGCCACCGCGCCCGGCCATACTTAGTTCTTTACCTGTCTGGATTCAGAACCAGAATACCATAGGGAGAAGTAGAAGCTTGTAACAAAGGGACAATTATATAAAGCTTCAGGGTGACTAT
Source organism: Homo sapiens (assembly GCF_000001405.40). Classification (NCBI taxonomy): domain Eukaryota; kingdom Metazoa; phylum Chordata; class Mammalia; order Primates; family Hominidae; genus Homo; species Homo sapiens. The sequence continues at coordinate 87,859,643 of NC_000010.11, read as the reverse complement.
GTAGATTGATTAGTAAGCATGGTAAACTAGCTTTAATTATCGCTTCTAACAGCTGATTCCAAAACTCTATTGTTACTACACCAAAATAATGTCGAAAGAAAATTTCTTTCTTATTTTCTTTGATAAGCGAAATGACCAGCAACTTGATGTGGATGATATAAATACTTGATGTGCTCTTTGTAGGTCATCTGCTAAGATGTCTTTTGTGTAAACACTCTGATCTCTATAGTGCCTTTCTCATCTCCCATACGCTGACCTTTCAAAAAGGGATCTAACTCAATAGCTTTAATTTTTAAACAATCTTCTGTATTTCTGTCTGTTTAACTACTGTTTTCTAAATAATACAGAATATAAAAACATAATAATCATTGGATTGAATGTAAACCCATTGTTCCAAGGGTCTGAGGTTTTCCCCTTATTTCATTTATCCTAATAACAAACATTATTGTTCTTTCAATAAAGATAATTTTAAGACATTCTCCAAAAGGCGCTACTGTGGGTCATACAAGTAACTATATTCTAAAAGAGAATTTTCCATTATTGTCTACAAGCTTCCCATGTCCCAAATCTCTCCTGAAGCTATTTCAGATGCCATGGTGTCATCTTTCACATCTTGGTAGAGAGATGTGCTGTATGAAATCATCATTCTCAGAGAAATAAGGGTTGAGTTGGTTGCTCCTGAGAACAATAGAGCAGACCAGGTACTCACTGTGTCCAAGTGGCGTTCAGAAATTTTGTCTTGGACCGTGGAGCAATACAAATAAAAAAGACATAACATGACAAGACAGCTTTGACTATGTTAGTCTCCAGGCTAACACTAGCTACCAATTATTCTACTTGGTCCCCTTAATACTAACTCTAGCCATATGGAGCACATTGTTTGCTTTTTAGACCTTCCAATAATAGAAAAAGGTAATTCCCATATACCAGAAAATATTGGGACACCTACCAGGTGCTTCATAGAGTAGGCAGAAATTTTTTTTTTTTTTTTTTTTTTTTTTTTTTTTGAGACGGAGTCTCCCTCTGTTCCTCAGGCTGGAGTGCAGTGACGTGATCATGGCTCACTGCAACCTCTGCAGAATAGCCCGAATTTGTCTAGGTAGAGGGACATTGAGAAGGAGCCAAAACCCTGCTCTGCCTAACTCCTACAATTTTCCCCTTCAAAACATCCTTCTGGCCTCTAAGGCATCACAAAAAACAGCACCTTTTTCAAAGAGAAAATGCATGGGACAAATAGCCCTGGACCATGAAAAAAGGCAGACTTAGAGCTTATCTGCTTTTTCTTTACTTCTTTTCCCTTATTAAGACTCCACACTCCATTTAAAGAATCTTTTTTGTCCATCCTCTTGAGGGTAGGGGATCTTATCTCAATTCATTTATTTAATGATTCAATCAACAAATATTTGGGAGCCTATTAAGTGGCAATACTGTTCTAAGCTCTATGGACAGAGCAGTGACTACTATGGCATATAGTGTTCACTGTCATGGAATTTAGTCTGCATTGAAAACTTGACTTCTATGGCTGACATTGTTACAACTTCTTCCCAGCCCACAGAGTAAAGGTAAAGCAATAGGAAGATACCCTGACATTTGATAATTGTTTTGTTTTGTTTTTGAGACAGTCTCGCTCTGTTGCCCAGGCTGGAGTGCAGTAGCACAATCTCAGCTCACTGCAACCTCCGCCTCCCGAGGTGTTTAAGCAATTCTCCTGCCTCAGTCTCCCGAGTAGCTGGGATGACAGGCATGCACCACTGTGCCTGGCTAATTTTTTGTTTTTTTAGTAGAGACGGGGTTTCGCCATGTTGGCCAGGCTGGTCTTGAATTCCTGGCCTGAAGGGATCTGCCCACCTCCACCTCCCAAAGTGCTGAGATTACAGGTGTGAGCCACTGCACCTGGCTGGATAATTGTTTTCAATTATCTATTGCTGCATAATAAATTACCTTAAAACTTTCTGTTGTCTTCCTCTTGGGACCCAGGCACTGTGTAAAGAAGCTTGGGCTGGACCACTGAATGATGAGCAACCACAGCAAGAAAGGAGTCCCTAACCATTTTAGCTACTTTAACTGAGGTCCCAGACATGTGGGAAGCCATCTTGGACATTCCAGACCCAGCCAAACTCACAGCAGAATAAAGCACATGTCTGACCTGAACTGATACCATGGGGGCCGCTTAAAACTTAGTGGCTCAAAACAACTACCACCATTTATTTCCTCACAATTCTGCAATTGGGGAAGGGCACAGCTGGACAGGTCGGCTCCCCAATGACATTAGCTAGGGTCAGACGTGCTTTATTCAGCTGTGAATTTGGCTGGGTCTGGAATGTCCAAGATAGCTTACCACATGTCTGGGACCTCAGCTAGAGTAGCTAAAAATGGTTAGGAGCCTCCTTTCTTTGTGTGGTTGCTCATTATTCAGTGGTCCAACCCAGGCTTCTTTATACAGTGCCTGGATCCCAAGAGGAAGACAGCAGAAAATACAGGGTCTCTTAAATCCTGGGTTCAGAAGTCCCAGAATGTCACTTCCACTGCATTCTCTTGGCCAAGCAAGTCACAAGGACAGCCCAGATTCAAAAGGAAGGGAAAGATACTCCTTGATGGAAGTAGCAGCTGGGATGAGAAATTGTTGCCAGTCAATTTGGGAAATAGTCTATCATGATCCATCCTCCAGCTACAACAGTATACATATGCACATACATGCACACACACACACACACGACATGCAGAATACACTCACTCCCTTTCTCCAAAACTATTATTCTATATAGCATCAGTGTTAAACTTCAGGATCTAGTAATCTATACTAGGCCTAGATGTGGATGAGGCATTTCAGATGCAGCTTTTCTTCATCTGGAGACCTGTTAACTAAAAGAGAAGTTACATACACAACATACAATGCTGAAAAAGGGATAGGATAACTGCAGTAGACACGCCTGTTTGAAAATGGCGGAAATGGAAGGCATATAGCAGTCATTAGTCCATAGCAATTCTGAAATCCAGCCAAGCACTGTTACCGGTCCTCTGAGGATCAAGTTCTCCATTAGTGCCTAGGTTGGCCTCCCTCAGAATAGTTTCCCAATGCGTTGTTCTCAAGAGCTCTTAGTTCCACCCTCTGGGGTCTAGACTAGGAACTCTGAATCAATTTTCCTTTTTCATAAGAAACTGCCTTCCTTGAACAGAGGCTTCAGAAATAACACCACACATCTACAACCATCTGATCTTTGACAAACCTGACAAAAACAAGAAATGGGGAAAAGATTCCCTATTTAATAAATGGTGCTGGGAAAACTGGCTAGCCATATGTAGAAAGCTGAAACTGGATCCTTTCCTTACACCTTATACAAAAATTAATTCAATATGGATTAAAGACTTAAATGTTAGACATAAAAACTATAAAAACCCTAGAAGAAAACCTAGGCAATACCATTCAGGACATAGGCATGGGCAAGGACTTCATGACTAAAACACCAAAAGCAATGGCAACAAAAGCCAAAATAGACAAATGGGATCTAATTAAACTAAAGAGCTTCTGCACAGCAAAAGAAACTACCATCAGAGTGAACAGACAACCTACAGAATGGGAGAAAATTTTTACAATCTACCCATCTGACAAAGGGCTAATATCCAGAATCTAAAAAGAACTTAAACAAATTTACAAGAAAAAGTAAAGCAGCCCCATCAAAAAGTGGGCAAAGGATATGAACAGACACTTTCCAAAAGAAGACATTTATAGACATTTATGCAGTGAACAGACACATGAAAAAATGCTCGTCATCGCTGGTCGTCAGAGAAATGCAAATCAAAACCACAATGAGATACCATCTCACACCAGTTAGAATGGTGATAATTAAAAAATCAGGAAACAACAGATGCTGGAGAGGATGTGGAGAATAGCTTTTACACTGTTGGTGGGACTGTAAACTAGTTCAACCATTGTGGAAGACAGTGTGGCGATTCCTCAAGGATCTGGAACTAGAAATACCATTTGACCCAGCAATCCCATTACTGGGTATATACCCAAAGGATTATAAATCATGCTACTATAAAAACACATGCACACGTATGTTTATTGAGGTACTATTCACAATAGCAAAGACTTGGAACCAACATAAAATGTCCATCAATGATAGACTGGATTTAGAAAATGTGGCACGTACACACCATGGAATACTATGCAGCCATAAAAAAGGATGAGCTTCATGTCCTTTGTAGGGACATGGATGAAGTTAGAAACCATCATTCTGAGCAAACTATCACAAGGATAGAAAACCAGACACCACATGTTCTCACTCATAGGTGGGAATTGAATAATGAGAACACTTGGACACACGGCGGGGAATGTCACACACCAGGGCCTGTCGTGGGGGGGATGGGGGAGGGATAGCATTAGGAGAAATACCTAATATAAATAACCAGTTAATGGGTACAGCAAACCAACACAGCACATGTATACATATGTAACAAACCTGCACATTGTGCACATGTACCCTAGAACTTAAAGTATAATAAAAAAACAAAAACAAAAACAAAAAAGTAGGTATAAATATAAGCGCAGAACTGCTTTTGAGCAGCTACGCCGGGCACATCGCTTGTGGGTTAGCCTGCTCTGCAAGGAGCAGTACCTCTGCTGCTGTACACTGCCGCTTCAATAAAAGTTACTAACACCACCAAAAAAAAAAAAGAAAAGAAACTGCCTTCCTTCCTTTTACAGTTAAATAACTCTCTCAGCCTGCTTCCTGCCCGTAGGAAGTTGGGGGCTTGGAAGGTTTTTTCATTTTGAACTGTCTCTTCCTTAGTCCAAGCTGGTGCAATTTTATCCATATAACTCTCTTTAAAATTTTGTGACTCTTATTGGGGTTCACTTCTTGCCCGCAAAGCAACATCTATAATTCTTTCAAAAACAAACCTCTCTGCCTGTAGTCCTAGCACTTTGGGAGGCCAAGGTGGGAGGATTGCTTGAGGCCAGCAGTTTGAGACCAGCCTAGGAAACATAGCGAGACTCTGTCTCTGAAAAAAATTAAAAATTTAAATTAAAAATTTAAAAAACCTCTCTCTACTGTGGACCTGTAGAGGTGACTACTGTGGGACAACACTTAAGATTCTTAGAAGACCTTTTGTCTAGATGAGAGGCAATATCTTAAATATTTTAGAGGTCTTAGCACCAAGTCTCGATAAGATCTTTAACTTGAGGCCAATTCTACAGGCAGGCCCTTGAGGCCATTTCTTACTTTGAGAGTCTTTCTGGCATAAAGAGACTCTGCTTAAAAATGGGATAGTTCCTTTTTTAACACATCTCTGTCTCTTGTGTTATCATCATACATCACTTGTGTATCTTCGTACATCCCTAAAAGAAGCCAATTGTCACTCTGAACATTCAGCCTGAATGTTGCCAAATCCACAAGTTTATTAGGTACACTTTCTGTCTTCTATGTTTTACCATACATCTGACCACAAGGGTTGTCAAACATCTTGCCACTACTAACACCATTTCTCCAACCTTCAATAGCAATTTTCTCACTGCTCTTCCAGCTCTGTTAGAAGTCTTTTCCCCAGACTAAGGAGACATATCAACTAAGAGCAAGTAAGGGAACCTGGATTAAATCTTGGAACAGAAAAAGAACATCACTACAAAAACAAGTGAATTTCATATAAGGTTCGTACCTTGTGCTAATTTCCTGGTTTTGATAATCGTTCTGTGGCTATTAATAAGTTATTGGCCAGGAACAGTGGCTCATGCCTGTAATTCTGACACTTTAGGAGGCTGAAGTGGGAGGATGGCTTGAACCCAGGAGTTCGAGACCAACCTGGGCAACATAGTGAGACCCCGTCTCTTGAAAGCAGGGAATTTTTTTTTTTTTTTTTTTTGAGGCAGAATCTCACTCTGTCAGCCAGGTTGGAGTGCAGTGGTGCAATCTCGGCTCACGGCAACCTTCACCTCCTGGTTCAAGCGATTCTCTTACCTTGGCCTCCCAAGTAGCTGGGATTATGGGCGCATGCCACCACGCACAGCTAATTTTTGTATTTTTAGTAGAGATGGGGTTTTGCCATGTTGGCCAGGCTGGTCTTGAACTCCTAGCCTCACGCAATCCGCCCACCTCGGCCTCCCAAAGTGCTGGGATTATAGGCGTGAGCCACTGTGCCTGGCCAAGACCCCCATCTCTTTAAAAAAAAAAAAAGTTATCAATACTAGGGCTGCTGGATAACAAGTATACGTAAACTCCACACCAGGCCAGGCATGGTGGCTCACTCCTGTCATCTTAGCACTTTGGGAGGCCAGGTGGGTAGATTGCTTGAGCTCAGGAGGTTGAGACCAGCCTGGGCAAAATGGAAAAACCATGTCTCTACAAAAAATACAAAAATTAGCTGGGCATGGTGGTGTGTGCCTATAGTCCCAGCTACTTGGGAGGCTGAGGTGGGAAGATCACCTGAGCCCCAGGAGGTCAAAGTTGCAGTGAGCAGTGATCGCACCACTATACTCCAGCCTGGTGACAGTGAAACCCTGTGTCAAAAAAAAAAAAAAAAAAAAAAATCCATACCATTTTTGCAACTTTTTTCTAAGTCTAGAATTTTTTCCAGGCCACACACGATGGCCCACACTTGTAATCCCAGCACTTTGGGAGGCCAAGGCAGGCGGATCACTTGAGGTCAGGGGTTTGAGACCAGACTGGCCAATATGGTGAAACCCCATCTCTAATAAAAATACAAAAATTAGCTGGGAGTGGTGGCGCATGCTTGTAATCCTAGCTATTTGGGAGGGTGGAGCAGGAGAATCGCTTGAACTCGGGAGGTAGAGGTTGCAGTGAGCCGAAATCGCACCACTGCACTCTAGCCTGGGCAACAGAGCGAGACTCTGCCTCAAAAAAAAAATTCTTTTAAAATAAAATATTTAAAAACCAAATTAGCTAGGCATGGTGGCTCATACCTATAATCCCAGCATTTTGGGAGGCTGAGAGGGAAGAATTGCCTGAGGCCAGGACAACATAGCAAGACCCCAGTCTCTACAAAAAAATAATAATTAGCTGGGCATGGTGGCATGTGCCTGTAGTTCTAGCTACTGGGGAAGCTGAAAAAAGATTCAAGGGAGGGGAAACAGACTCCATCTCCTTTTGGTGGGAAGGGTGGCATGCGTGTAGAGGCATGGAGGAATTGTTGGTGGCCATCTTCCACAATGACCCTAGTCCTATCCCCTATAAATAACCCCCCAAAACAGACCATTTTACGTAGTCCTTCTCTCAGGTCAGTTCTGCCTAGAATATCTGTCATTTAAGAATCCTATCAGCTGACAATTTGATTAGCAACTGAATGTTTTCAGTTGTTTTCTATTTTGCTCCTTAATCTTCTAGTTTGTTAATGTGCTTACTCATCTATTTTACAGCATGATTCTACTCTAGGACTAATGTATTTCCCAAAAGATTCATTAAAATTCAATGAAATAAAACAAAAGTGATAATACATATATATATACATGTGTTTGCATAAATACATACAAATTATCTGGAAGAATAAGAGATGAGATAACACATTCTCTCTGAGGGCAGGATAGAGAGGGAAGGCTTCCAAGGGAGATAAATTTCTCTTTTTATTTATTGTTTTTTATATGGTTCAAAGGTTCTTTACAATGATTATTATATTTATAAGGTAGAAAGGTGATTTCATCCATTAGAATTAAAACTAAAAATATATGTCTATTATCAAGAGAATATTAAATAACCAGGAAAGAAGCTCGATTCTAATTGTATTTTAAAATAAATGAGCACCCTAAAGAATTTCCAGAATTTAAGCGTAAGGGTCTGTTTGGTGTTTGCTGGACAATAGAAATACATGGGAATATCTGCCATAAATGGTACATAGTAGAGATGTGTGGTAGACAGGCTGTATCTTATCCTGAATACCCTCTCTTCCCCAGATCAATGGTCTTGACCAGATCTATTTTTTACTCTTTGTACTATTTAATAACTTTTGCTGCTCAAAGAAAATGTCCTCGAAAAATAATCATATGACAGCACAGTACCCCCATCTTCTTCCATTCAAGAGAGTGGCAGACTGCTTTATCATCCAGTGCATAAGAGCTAGAAAAAAACTTCATAGACCCGCTAGTTTACCAATCTCATTTTACAAATGAAGAAACTGAGGCGCAAAGGGTTTACATGCCCCAGATTACACAGCAACTCAGTGAGGGATCCTCAGTTGGAGCCCGGAGAATTCCCTGATATACCCTATCAGTGAATAAAGATGGTAAGAAAGTCTAGCTTGTATAGAAACCTAAATGAGTTAGTTAGAAATTTGACTAGAGATGGTTTTTAATGACATTTTCAAGGCTTGGAAAGGAGTGAACAAAGAAAACAAGGAGATTGCTTAAATAGAGATGATAAATAGGGTTTGGGATGGAGAAAAACAAGGATAAGTGAATGAATGATTCCCGATGTTCACTCTCTAACCTTAAGTGCCTTGAAATTAGCCCATGACGCTAAATACCTTAAGGATCAAACATTAAAACATGAATAGCCACATGTTGCAAATTTGTTTCTCCTCCTTAGTTCCTAAGATTACTGGGAGAGTGTCTTTCAGACAAGAATATAAAGGAGGCAGCCGTTACATGTGGACCGCAGACAGAAAAGGGACTGTGAGGCCCGTGCTCTTTTGAAAGGAAGGAAACACCAAACCCACATGGAGCAAGGAGAACGCTGCCACCTGCTGAAGAGTTGGAGTCAATGAAAATGCTGCCATGCAGTTACAGTCAGCACCTTCATCATGGCTCAAAACCAGTTAGAAAACCTCTTTGCAGTCTGAGGCAGGTCAGTGCTGAGAGAAAGCTTAATTCTAGATTTCATCAGGCCAATGTGTGCTGGAGAAAGGTTAGTTTGTCTCTGGTAAGAGGTGGTAGAGGTCTGCATATCTGCTTCTCTTTCTTGCACAAATATTTATGCTTATTAGCTTTGAATTTTTTCCCAAAAGCTAAATCTCAAAATACTAACATATTCTTGGATGAGTCTAGATAAAAATGATATCAGAAAAGGCAATACAAGGAACTTTATTCAAGTAATGCATGCACTAAGTTAAAAATTCTCCAGGGCTCACCACTATCCTTCCCCAGATAAGTGGCTTCCCCCCGCCCCCACCAGCTTTCCATTTCTTCCTCTTCTATTCATGTACAAATATACACACACACACCAAGGACAACTGCAAGAGAGGGCTGGGAGAAAGTTGCCAATCCTTTGTATAAGGCCTCAGTCTTTCCCTTTTCGTCCATCGTTCCACTCTCCTTTCTCCTGCCCTCTCTTGCCATTCTTTCTTCCAATCCCTATTTTTCTCCTCTTGACCTCTATCTTTCAAGATTCCCCTTATTAATATACAAGAAACTGATATGGCTGAGAGATCCCCTGGGAAGGTGATATATACAGGACTGCCAAGTTACACAACTGCAAGGGCCACAAGTGATATCATATGTGATGCTGTTGTTTTGTACCTTTTGATTTTTCAACCACATAAATGTGTAGTAGCTTTAATTTATATTTAAATCTTTTTGAATCTGACCTTGGTCCCCAATGGTAGACCACTGTTTAATTTCATGGTTACACTAAATAATAAAATAAAGCAGTTCTAGGCCCTGCCCAGTTATAAGTCTCTTATTAAACAATGTTTTAAGATCAATAGAATAAGTTCAAAAAATACTCCTATTGTGATTTAGATTTTTCTCTCTTGTAGGAACTTCAGAAAGAATACCATAGAAAAACCTAATGTCAGAACTAGCTTAGGAGGGAAATTTTATCTTTTCTAAATATAATAGAACAGTTCCCTTTTGTAGATTTTTGTTACTTAATTGTACTAAATGTACTACTTTTTTTTTTTTTCTTTTTTGAGACGGAGTGCCCAGACTGGAGTGCAGTGGGGCAGTCTTGGCTCACTGTAACCTCTGCCTCCCGGGTTCAAGCGATTCTACTGCCTCAGCCTCCCAAGTAGCTGGGACTACAGGCACACACCACTATGCCAGGCTAATTTTTGTATTTATAGTAGAGACAGGGCTTCACCATATTGGCCAGGCTGGTCTTGAACTCTGAACCTCAAGTAATCCACCTGCTTCAGCTTCCCAAAGTGCTGGGACTACAGGTGTGAGCCACCTCACGTGGCTTAAATATTTACATTTATTAAAGAAGGTACAGGTTTGCATTGCAGGGAACCCTAAAGAAAAATGAAGTCTCTAAGTAAAGTCATGGTACTTGAAAATTAATCTGGGAATATTTCAAATCCTTAACATAAATTTTATGAAGTCAGGGAACTGGGAGAAAGCTAATGGATAGAAACAGACCATTTTCAGAGAAAAAAAAAATAACCTCATTTACATACATGGCTCTGAGCCATAAGTCATTTCTGAAATTTCTTTTCTGGACATGGCATCTTTGTCTTGGCTAGCTCCCAGGGTGCAGCCCCAGGCCATTGGCTGCTGCCACTCATAGGACCACTGTTTTCCTACCTCACCTGTTGAAACAAGTAAGAGGGAGGACTTAATTAAGGTGTGCTTTATTCTTGTGTTCTTGTAGACTTGTTCATTGTAAAATAGGATTTTCTGCATTTCAAATCTTGTTTATTTTACAATGTTGTGGCATTTGTCCTATTAACTGGTCAACTTTTCCTTATGACTTGAATTTGGCACATTAAATGTTCTCACTCTTTTCAAGTAGAATTAAACTGAGTCCTGCTTGAGAATGGCCATTACTCTGTTTTTGAAATGTACTGTCCTTTGCAACTACATCCAGAAATCTGCAAACCAGAAAATGTTTGCCCTTATTCTTTTTTGTCCTTTACCTTATTCAGGGCAAACATTTTCTGGTTTGCAGATTTCTGGATGTAGTTACCTTGGTGGTTTAGTGGGCTTGAGTTTGTTTCAGAAGCTGAGTCAAGGAATCCTGACCCCTAGTTCTCCCAAACTGCACAAATTATTTCTAATAACCTTCTCCAGTAGACATCTGTTTATTTTGCAATTAATAGAGAGTAAAGAAGGCCTTAAAGGCATTTGTGCTTTAGGGCACTCAATGTAAATGAATTACGATGCTGTCTTTGTATAACATCTTGGTTGATGGTAGACTAATGATGCCCTTTAAAGAAAGAAATGTGAGAATCATGAATAAAAATACTTCCAGAAGTTGTCAAAAGCCACATTATAGAAAGAAATTTGGTGTCTCATAGAACACTGATGGATTACTACTCATTGCTCACCAGTTATTTAAATAAGGCGACCAAGGGATTTTTCCCAAATATAGAAGATTGCTATGACTTACATATATGGACAGAGGGACTGTTCCTGAGTCCTTGAGAGGCACAGCAATGTCCTCAGTGATGTGACTTCAGTGAAACAGTTACACAGCTTAGGAGACTCCAACACAAGCAATTCCACTTTTGGGTATAAACATCAGAGTAGTGGTCTTCAAATAGGAGAAATAAGGTTCTTAGTTTCAAGAGAATCAATTCCATAACTTCCATATACACTTTCTCCTAAATCTGATGTGCCTCAGAACTAGTGTAGTCAAGTGGACCTAGTAGTTCCTTGTCCCCATTTCCCCTTTCACAGTGCCCTTTATCCCACTTTAAAAGAGAACAGAATACCCCTCTCCATCTGAATGCTGAAACGATGTACTGCCTGAAAGTGTAAAAACCTGCAAGGAGCTAAAGAGATCATCTGCAATAATGATATTGCTGCTAAGTAGCTGAATAATTTTACCAACAAACCCTTTTAAAAGTTAACCTGTTTAACATTAATTTTTTTTCTGGTAAATTGAAGGAGAACCTATTGAAACTATTCATTGAAAAATCATTACAAATAAGATCACTAAGTGATGTATGACATATAATTTGGGAAGCTTTCAAATAAATGAGTAACACTGCTAAAACACTTCCTTTCACTCACCATCTACTTATGTGAATAATATTACTCAATGTTTACAACATAAAAGCAAAAACTAGGGATAAATGATCTAATGCTGAACTTGTCTCCTTCTAGGAATATATAAAATTCATTTGTGATATATAAACCAATTTTTTAAGCCCAGTTGATTTTTTTATATTTAATAATTATCAAAATTTAAAAGTATTTATTTGATTATACAAAAATATTAATGATAATTTGGAATAATTTTTAACACTGAGGAGCATTATGGTCCAGAAAATTTAACACAATTTAAATTTTTATAAAATTTGTTGCATGGAAATATGATACAGTCATCATCAATAAAAGATATTCACACATAATATATATTACATCCAAATAAAAATCTGTATCAGAATTGGAAAAAAAATTCAAGTTCAAAGAGAAAAAAGAATGATGTAAAATTTCCCATTGTAAAAAATGCTTGTTCGTTTTTTTAATGTTTTGATGGGCAATGGCAACAAATTACTATGGTATTTATGAATATTGGATACACTTAAGAATTCTACTTTAAATGTTACATAGGCCAGGCATGGTGGCTCACGCCTGTACTCCCAACACTTTGGGAGGCCGAGGCGGGTGGATCACCTGAGGTCAGGAGTTCGAGACCAGCCTGGCCAACATGGTGAAAACCCGTCTCTACTAAAAATACAGGTGAAACCCTGTCTCTACTAAAAATACAAAAAAAAAAAAAATTAGCAGGGCGTGGTGGCGGGTGTTTGTAATCCTAGCTACTCGGGAGACTGAGGCAGGAGAGAATCGCATGAACCCGGGAGGTGGAGGTTGCAGTGAGCCAAGATTGCGCCATCGTACTCCAGCCTGGGCAACAAGAGCAAAAACTCTGTCTCCAAAAAAAAAAAAAAAAAAGTTACATAACTAGGAAATTACTTCCTTTCCACCTACTTAAACTTAGAATAAAAAAGTTCAATTCTAACTCTACCATGTGTATAGAGGAAAAGTTTTTCCAAATTGTTTGTGGGATAAGCTAACAAAAAAGTTTAAAGACCCCTACTCTAGCAAAACTTTCATATATTGAAAGCAGAAACATATAGGGAAATTCATGGAAATATTATTTAAAACAGCAAAAAATTAGAATCTAAATGTTCCATATAGATAAATCAAATGTGATATTTTCATATGATAAAACATTATACAGCAGGTTAAACAAATAAATTAGATCAACTTATCAACATGGAAATTTTGCAAGCTTTATCAGATACTAGTTAAATCTGATTCTCAGAATTACATTGGGCTCATCCTTCTTTCATTTCCCATTCCTCTCATGACAGAGAAACCCATCCAAAAAGTACAATAGGTGTGACATTGCCCAAACTTTGGCCCTGAAGCAGAGAACCCTGAGTGGGTATGTAACATCATCATATCGCAGTTCTAATCATGAAGGCTCCATAGTTATGTAAGGTATTTTAATGACTACACTTGCTGGGAGTGGAAGGGAGATTAAACAGCTCAAATAACCAATTAGGAGGAAAAGGATTCCCTCATTATCTAGTCTTGCGTGACATAATGACGTTTCTGTCAACAACAGCCCGCATATACCAAGGCAGTCCCATGATTATAATGGAGCTGAAAAATTCCTATCGCCTTGTGAACCTAGCCATCCTAACGTCATGGAGTAATGCATTACTCACAGTTTGCGGTGATGCTGGTGCAAGCAAACTTACTGCACTACCAGTCATATAAAAGTATAGCACATTCAATTATGTACACTATGTAATACTTGATAATGATAATAAACAACTGTTACCACTTTATGTATTTACTATACCATACTTTTAATTGTTATTTTAGAGTGTACTCCTTCTACTTATTTTTTTTTAGTTAACTGTAAAACAGCCTCAGGCAGGTTCTTCAGGAGGTATTCCAGAAAACAGCTTCAATATCACAGCAGACGACAGCTCCGTGTATGTTACTAACTCTGAAGAGCTTCCAGTGGACAAAATGTGGATGTGGAAGACACCGATACTGATGATCCTCACCATGTGTAGGCCTGTGCTTACATGGGTGTTTGTGTCTTAGTTTTTAACAAAATAAGTTTAAAAAATTTTAAGAAATTAATTTAAAAATAGAAAAAAGCTTATAGGATATAAAGAAAATATTGTTGATATGTAATCATAATTTATTATTATTTACAACTTTATGTTATTTAATAGCTTATTATTGAAGAAATTTTTTCATAAATTGTAGCCTAGTGTGCAGTGTTTATGCAGTTTACAGTAGTGTACAATAATGTCCTAGGCTTTCACAGTGACTCACCACTCACTCATTGACTCACCCAGAGCAACTTCCAGTCCTGCAAGCTCCATTCATGGTAAATGCCTTATACAGGTATACCATTTATCTTTTATACCATATTTTTACTGTACCTTTTCTATATTTAGGTATGTTTAGATACACAAATACTGACCATTATGTTACACTTGCCTACAGTACTCAGTATAGTAACATGCTGTACATGTTTGTAGCCTAGAAGCAACAGGCTATACCACATAGCTTAGGTGTGTAGTGGGCTACACCATCTAGGTTTGTGCAAGTACACTTTATCATGTTTGCACAAAGACAAAATTGTCTATGGATTCGTTTATCAGAACAAATCCCTGTTATGTGACACATGGCTATATTTGGAACCTCTACTTGCCTGGAAAGAGGAAGTAAGGTACATATTTACTTACATATGAATGATGGATAAAAGAAATATTAGTGACTTTGCAAATATCCAATGGTGAGATAAGCAAAAATGACTCTTAGCAAGAAATTAATTCTATACTAATAAAATCAGTTGTGGAGTTATTTTCTGTAGGAAAGCAAAATCCATAACATAATGCCAGTAGTAACAATTAAATTGTTTGCTTATTCATATGAATTCTATTCTACTCTGTTTTGGGAAATCTGCTTAAACATTTGAGTATTATTTTATTGTATTTTCTTTTTTTAAAAATTAAAGGTCGCTCACTAGTCCGGTTTCCATTAGCGGCCATAACCAAGGGAGAGGAACCAGCTGGCATGGGAAGGGGCCATCTTCACAACATTCCATTTATACACAGAACTAAACAGACAGGCACAGAGTCACTGTTGTGGTTAGAAGTTGTAGCATGGGAAGGTGGAGGAACAGGTGGAGAGTGGGGTTGTTTTTAAAATATATATATAGGCCTTCCCCAACTGGGGTTCCTGGGAGAACTTGGTCTGCTTCAACCCAAGAGGAATCAGAAGATCCAAGCAGTTTGGGAAGGCCAGAACTGTCAGGGATGGAGAGAGGAGGAAAATCCAGGGAGTTGGGGGGCTGTTTGGCAATTGGGGTGAAGGGAGTGCCTTCCCTCTGCTGGGATTCCCCCAGGCCCTCCAGTCTGGCAGGAAGGGGGCAGCCTGCAATCCCTGAGGGCAGGTCTGGGACTAGTAGATTCTCCAGGAAGGGCGCTGGAGGGGATCACAAAGTTTGCCCTCCAAGAAGACGACAGTGCTGACCCCTAGCTGCTTCTTGATGACGTCTTTGGAGCTGGCATAGATCATTTTGCTCTTAATGGATGCAGACTCAGAGGCCCAGAAGATAAACACCAGGTCCTTCTTCTTGCTGTCCTTGGTGGCGTCATAAGGGGCGTAGCGGCAGTCCTTACTGTCAGCATCTTGACAAAAGTGGCATAGGGATCATCAATGGTTTGGTCCACATTACTTACCAGGATCTTCTTGGCCTCCGCAAGGATGATGTACTTCTTGTACTCACTCAGGCAGAAGAGCAGCAACTTCTTGCGCTTCTTCACCTTTTCTAGTGTTGAAGACTTGCACACTTTCATGTCACTGAACACCTTGATGACATCATCAAAGACAGCCACATGGGAGCCCATGTTTCCAGAAGTGAAAAGGAGATGGCAAGGAGAGCCGCTGCAGCTGCTGCCAGGATCTGACTAGACATTTGAATATTTTGAGAATGAAGTCTTATTTTCTCACTGACCCCATTAAAAAATCAGTAATAACATAAAATGAGGCTGTAATAAGAACAATAATGATAATAACTATATTTATTATTACTAACATTTGTTGATAACACTTAATGGAGTCATTAAAGGGTATGTATGGTCTTATGAAGCCCTCTGGCATGTTTGCATTTTCTCCCCAGGTCTCTGCAAATATGTTTCTATAAAGGACAGTGTGGGGTAAGCACTGTCACACAAGTAATAATGAATATTTATTGATTGCATACTACTACTAAATGACCTACAGGCATGATCCACTTAAATACCTCTCATATATCTCTTAAAATTTGCTGCTACACTGCTTCCCTACCAAAAGTACTAAAGCTATCCTTCTCCTATAGCAGCTGAGGCTTTATTATAATTTCTGCAATTTTCTACCTTCAGGAGGAGTTTTCTCCCTAAGGTTTCCAGTATTCTGAAAGTACTTTCCTAGCAGACTCCTCCCATTGCTCACTAGACATGCCTAGACAAGTTCTAACCTCAATTGTGAATGCAGCCTTTATGTGAGTACTCTACCAGAGGAGGGAGAAAGGGAGAAAAGAAATGTTATCACAATGATTGTATTCATTAACCTTCATAATATATATGTGAAAGGAGGATGTAGTGGAATAAGGGTTGTGGCCATGCACATAACATTAAACTGGATTGCCATCTGTTCATAAAGATTTCTAATTTCTTGCTACATTTATTTTTATTTACTTTTTATTATTTTTTTAAGAGATGGGGTCTCACTATGTTGCCCAGGCTGGTCTTGAACTCCTGGGCTCAAGTGATCCTCCCATCTCAGCCTCCCAAAGTGCTGGGATTACAGGTGTGAGCTACTGCAGTGGCATCTTGCTACATTTAATACTTCACATTACTCCATTCTTTTCTTTGGAGCAGACTGAAGCATTCCTTTTTTTCTTCTTTTTCTTTTTCTTTTTTTTTTTTTTTTGAGACAGAGTCTCACTCTATTGCCTAGGATGGAGTGCAGTGGCACGATCACAGCTCACTGCAGCCTCGACCTCCCAGGCTCAAGTGATTCTCCCAACTCTCAGCCTCCCAAGTAGCTGGAACTACAGGCATGCGCCACAAAGCCCACCTAATTTTGGTATTTTCTGTAAAGAGAGGGTTTTGTCATGTTGTGCAGGCTGGTCTTGAACTTGGGCTCCAGTGATCCTCCTGTGTCAGCCTTCCAAGGTGCTGGGATTACAGGCATGCACCCCTGGCCTCTGAAGCATTCCTTGAGTCAGATATGCTTGGTGTTGTTTACTCAACCTGAGTCACCTTTTGCTTCCCTGTTCACCATTACCTACTGCCTTACCCTGAAAGGGGAGGTACTTACTATATATACTCAGATCATAAATTCCTCAGGAAGCTATCATGAGGTTAAAAGTACAGTTTCTGGAACCAGATTGTTTGTTTTCAAATTTTGCTCTGCCACTTACCAGTTGTGAGATCTTTGGCAAGTTACTTAATCTCTATGTACCCATGTCCTCATCCGTAAAATGGGGATGATAACAGTAGCCACCTCATTGGGTTTTTAATTTTTTTTTTTTTTTTTTTAGATAGAGTCTCACTCTGTTGCTCAGGCTGGAGTGTGGTGGCACGATCTCGGCACACTGCAACATCCACCTACCAGGTTCAAGTGATTTTCCTGTCTCAGCCTCTTGAGTAGCTAGGATTACAGGCACCTGCCACCATGCTTGGTTAATTTTTGTATTTTTAGTAGAGATGAGGTTTCACCATGTTGGCCAGGGTGATCTCGAACTCCTGACCTCAAGTGATCTGCCTGCTTCAGCCTCCCAAAGTTGCTGGGATTACAGGTATGAGCCACCGCACCCGGCCTATCAGTGGGTTTTTATAAGGACTGAGTGAGGGAGTGTGTGTGTGTGTGTGTGTGTGTGTGTGTGTGTGTGTGTGTGTGTGTAAAATCACTTAGGACAAGCCTGGCACGCAGAAAGCACTATGTAAGTGTTAGCTGTTATTATTATTGAGTGCAGGTACTCTATCTAACTCAATTGTACTCTCTTTGCTGCCCTCTCTGACACCTGGCATATTGTTTGATACATGATAAGCTTTCAGTAAAGGCTGATGAGCGATGAACAGCTATTAACAAAAGATAGGAGATAAGAAAATAAACATTTTCTTAGTCCTTTGAGATGTCCCAATAAAACGGTACTTTTGAAATAACTGTATATCTTTTATTAATTATAATTTTATGTCATGCCAATGTTTTGGTTAAGAGTCTAAGAAGGCTGCATTTGCCTCTGAATCACTCTATGGTCAAGGCCTTGTATTGTGAGAACAGCCCAATCATATTGACCTGGCACATGCTTCTCTGAAGTCACATGTCCAGCATTGTGACATGAGCAAGAATGCAGGCAACCTCTTGATTCCACTCATTCAAAGTTCTCTGTGGGGACTAGGTTCAGAAGATGTCATCTCCCCCATAGACTAGCTTCCCAGAGAATGTCACCTGCAAACTAGAATGATGCTAGTCTCAGCTTAACTGTGCAAAGAGAAAACCAGAACGCGCTCCCCAGGAACAAGGTTCATTCACAGTTGTCAGAAGGTACATTAACACTTAGAATCAAAACTTCATATAGGCTCTAGTGTAAAGCTTGACAACTCCTAACTACATCTTAGCTTTCACTACAGTGGAAGCAGTCCTGCTTCCACTGAAGTTTCTTAGAGATTAAAAAAAAAAATTACTAGGTAAATCTTTGTACCTTTGTACTTCTCATGCTAGCAGTTTTTTTACGTATCAGAGAGATGCTCAGTTAAGTACTCATAAGCTCCGTGACTAAAAGACTACATACTTTTTCAATTATAAACAAACATACAAATACAACTTATCAGCTGGATATAATATAGCCCTGAGATAAAAATATCATCATATATTACTTTACATTATCATGTCATGTTATGTTCTTTCTACGCTTTGGTATGGGACATTATGTATGTTCTTTCTACACTTTGGTATGGGACACTATCTGGAAAGACCTTAATCACTATTTATATTTTATGTTTTCCAAAGGGAACATCAACAGAGGAAATGTCAAACTTAAGAAATATTCTGTTCCCTGAAGGGGTGAAAAAAGGGCTATGAGGCCTAGTTAATTACAAATCAAACATAGTAATATACCTGTTTCCTCAGTTGCAGTAGAAATAACCAAAATTCCCTCAAATGTGCACTCCTAATTTTGTTCAAGAAACTAACGTTTCTCTTTCAAACAAGTTCTGATGAAATTATCATTTTCTTTTTTCTTTTTCAGAGATAGGGTCTCACTCTGTCACCTAGGCTGGAGTGCAATGGCGCAATCATGGCTCACTGCAGCCTCAACCTCCTGGGCTCAAGTGATCCTCCCACCTCAGCCTTCAAGTAGCTAGGACTACAGGGGCACACCACAACACCCGGCTAATTTTTTACTTTTATTTTTAGAGACAGGGTCTCACTATGTTGCCCAGGCTCATCTCAAACCTTTGGTTTCAAGCAATCTTCCCGCCTTGTCATCACGAAGTGTTGGGATTATAGGCATGAGCCACTGCATCCAGCCTGAAATTATCATTTTCTAATATTTCTCTTTTAATTTTCTCTAAGATGGAAGTAGCCAAATCACAATTAAGGTTTAATTTCACAGAGTATCCTGATTAACTCTGGAACAATGTAACATTTTAGTAAAATTATAGTGTGGGAGAGAAAAACTACAGTATTTTTATTCTAGAATTGAGGTCAGTAATAATCTTTTTATTCCTAAATGACTCAAACAGAGTTAATTCATGTCTCTGGCCACCACTGGCAGGGCTAAAGCCTGGCCATGAAGTGAAGGACAATATGGAAAGGTGGAACAGGAATAGGAAGGCAGCATACAAGGAAAAGATGAGAGGTGTTGACAGATTTTTAAAGAGGATAAAGATCAGCAGCTTTTTACAATCCCATTACTTCTTTAAATCTACTAATTCATCCAGGTTCACAGATATAAAAACTGTGAGGAAGAGAAAAAGAAGAGGGAATGGATGAGATGGAGAAGATTACTGGGGGCGGCGGGGGGGAAGAAAGAAAGAAGCCCATTTGGTGGAAAGCAATAGAGCATAACATGAAATTGCCTTAGGTACAAAGCTCACTGATCTATTCTAGAGTCTTCGTCCCACTTGAGACAATAGCCTAGTTCTAGTCCAGTTCCACTCCAATTATAAGGACTTGTCCTTCTCTTGATGGTCAAGAATTACTCATGTTCTGTTTACTATTAGATAAAAATTTATTTAAAACTACTATCTGCAGAAGACAAGCAAATTGCTTTATCTTCCTTCTACTCATTTATATTATTCAATACGATCCTCGTTTCTTATAGTTTAACAGGATGTATGTGAAAGAAATGGACTGTTGGCTCCTAACCATAAGTTCTCTTTGAGGCAAGCTTCTCAGAGATAAAAATAAAAATAATTGGCCCAAACAGGACCTAGGTCACCTAGCCTTGAGATTATTTACAGAGAAACATCAGGCAAATTTAGTCAAGGTGACTGAAGACCAAACAATTAAGCAATAAATTAATTCAAAAAAGACATACCAAAATATATATATTTGAAGTGTTACAACTACATGGCACAAAATTATTGGATCTCTAAAGCTATCCATCTAGTGTTGGGGGATTTGTTTCTATTTCTGTCTAGAAATTCAGCTAAGTATAATTTGTTATAAATCTTGCAGAAAACATGTACAGGTAGAATTATAAAGAAAAGTAGTGACTGAATTGGGAAGAATGAGGCAATATGTAGTGCCAAGAATTTTTTCATGAATATGTTGGCAATTGTATTTGTCTGCTCAAGGTGCCAAAACAAAATACCATAGACTGAATGGCGAAAACAGCAGAAATCTACTTTCTCACAGTTTGAGAGGCTGGGAAGTCCCGAATCAAGGTGCCAGCTGATTTAACTCCTGGTGAGGCCTCTCTTTCTGGCTTGCAGACAGCTGCCTTCTTGCTATGTCCTCACAAAAAGGAGAGAGAGAGAGAGAGAGAGAGAATATGAATGAGCTCTTTGGTGTCTCCTCTTACAAGGGCACTAATCCCATCATGAT
Source organism: Homo sapiens (assembly GCF_000001405.40). NCBI lineage: Eukaryota > Metazoa > Chordata > Mammalia > Primates > Hominidae > Homo > Homo sapiens. The sequence goes on along the minus strand of NC_000010.11, from coordinate 87,838,681 downwards.
GCCCCACTCTCATGACCTCATCTAATCCTAATTACCTCTCAAAGGCCTCATTGCTAAATACCATTACTTTCAGGGTTAGAGCTTCAACTTGTGCATTTTGAGGATACAAAAACATTCAATCCATAACAGCCATTTAAAAACAATGTTCCATTCCAGCTCTAGGTAAGATGGAGTAAGCACACTCCACCTTGTCTTTTTTTTTTTTTTTTTTTTTTTTTTTGAGATAGAGTCTCACTCTGTCACCCAGGTTGGACTGCAGTGGCACAATCTGAGGCTACAGGTGTGCACCACCACGCCCAGCTAATTGTTGTATTTTTAGTCGAGACTGGGTTTCAACATGTTGGCCAGGCTGGTCTTGAACTCCTGACCTCAGGTGATCCGACCACCTCGGCCTTCTAAACTGTTGGGATTAAGGGCGTGAGCCACCGCGCCCAGCCCACCCTGTCTTTTTCATTAAATATAGTTATAAAACCTAGATAGAATGCATGAAACAGCTACTTGGGGACACTGAAAGATAAAAAGTACCAAGTGAATTGGGGAAAAAGACTAGAATTTAAAGTACTACTGAACAAGCAGTGAGTTTTCTGTTTTTGTTTTTTCCCTATCAGAACCTCAGTCTAGAAATAAGGCAGTCTGAAACTCAGAATACGCACAGACAGACAGAGCCCCAGGAGAAGCCCTCTAGTTCTGGCTCAAGGAGCAGGAAAAGCATCTCCTAATACTCAGAGAGTGTGGGAGAAATCTGCCAATTTCTTCTCTTTTGTTCTCCATTCTCTAGTGCCCCAGGCACCTAGAAATCCTGCCAACCAAGCAGTGGTAATGACTGCAATGTCAGCAGGTGGTGACAAGCTCCAATATCTCTGAGGGAGGGGAACCTTCTTCCATGGAGAAGTTGGGGCCTCAGGAGGGTGGGATAAACACCAGTTGATTTTTTCTTCTCTGTCCTTCCACTGCTGAGCCCTGGACATAGTGTAGCCCCAGAAAGTACATACCACAGCAGGGTAACTAAAGCACTAGATTTCTGGCTGTGGGACTGAAAGAGGAAGTCCCAGGAATAAGAAAGTACTAGAGACCATGAAGAGGGAGGAACTCAGAGAAGTAGTAGTTAAGTTGATTATAACCTCCTAGACTCACCTTCAAGTTGCACAAGGATGGATCTGATCACAAACAGCATATGTACCAAAAAGACTTTGAGACTGAACTAAAGGAGAGTCTACCACACAAGTCCACCACCCTACCACTACTGACTGGTAGTACACATAGAGGATAGATCCAAATAGCATGGAAAGCAAAATATTCTTTTTGAAAACAGAATTGACATTGAAACTACAACTGACAGAAGGTTGGCTGGAACTTTTGACTTGAACCAAAACAGATCTATTACCCACCAAAACAAAAATATCAGTATTCTCCATATGATTTAAACAAAACCCAGAGTCTTATAATATATTAAATGTCTGGGATACAATTCAAAACTAGTCAGCATACAAGAACCAGGAAAATCTCAGCTCACCTAGGAAAAGACAATAGAGGACAATGCCAGGATGCTATAGATGCTGGAATTAGCTGACTATAGCTTTAAAACAGTTATTAGAAAAGTGTACCAGAACGTAAGATTAAAAAGTTCCTGAAAGAAATGCAAAAAATAATAAAAAAATGAAATTGAAATTCAGAACTAAAAAATATAATAACAAAAATAAAGAACTAATTGTATAGGTTCAATTACAGAATGGAGATGAGAGAGGAAACAGTCAGTGAATTTGAAGATGAGGCAACAGAAATTATCCAATGTGAACAATGGAGAGAAAAAGTATTGGGGGAAAAAAGCTGTGCCTGAGGGACTGGTGGGACACCACCAAAATATCTAACATTTATGATATCGGAGATCCAGAAGAAGAAAGGAAAGAATACAACGTAGTACCAAATATTTGAAAGAATAACTAAAAATTTCTTAAATTTGGTAAAAAACATAAACTTACAGATTCAAGAAACTCAGACACCAAACAGGGTATAACCAAAGAAACTCATGCCCAAACACATCATAATCAAACTGCTAAAAACTGAAACAAGAAAAATTCTTGAAAACTGGTAGAAAAAAATGATACATTATTTACAGGGGAAAAACAGTGTGAATGACTGCAGATTTCTCATCAGAAACCACGGAGGCTAGAATGAAGTAGAACAACTTAAAGGGCTAAAAGTAAAAACCTGTCAACCCAGAATTCTATATTTAGCACAAATATCCTTCATGATTAAATTTGAAATAAACACATTCTTGGGGGAGGAAAACAAAGATAATTTGTTGTCAGCATACCTTGGTCTAAAGAATTACTAATGGAAGTTCTTCAGACAGACGGAAATGACATCATAAGGTAACCTGAAACATCAAGAATAAAGGAGGAGCCAGGCATGGTGGTAGTCTTAGCGACTCGGAAGCTGAGGTGGGAGGATCACTTTTAGCCCAGGAGTTTGAGGTTACAGTGGGCTATGATTGTGCCACTGCTCTCCAGCCTTGGTGACAGAGCAAGACCCCGACTCCAAGAAAACAAAACAAAACAAAACAAAAACAAGGAATAAAGAAGGAAAAACAGAAATGGTAAATATCTAGGTAAATAAACAATTCACCTCTTAAGTTCCTTAAAATTTGTTTCATGTTTGAAAGCAAAACTGATAACATTAATGGGGTTTTCAGTGTATGTAAATGCAATACATAAGACAACTGCAACATAAAGAGGGAAGGTAATAGGATCTAAATGATTATAACATTTCTATATCCCCCTTGAAGTTATAAAATATTGATTCTAAGTAGGTTGTGTAAAATTAAATATTTATATTTTGATCCCAATCATTAAAAACTTTTTTAACAAGGACACATAGTCAAAAACTAACAAAAATATGGAATTTTAAAAAATATACAAATGCCCCAAAAGAAGGTAGAAAAGAGAAAACAGATACATGAAAGAAAATAAAGGAAACAAATAGAAAACAAATAAATAAAATGGTAGGCCTAAATCTGAATATATCAATTATTACATTAAATGGAAAAACACCTAAATATGCCCACTGAACAGGTTGGTAAAATGTACGCAAAAACATGACTGAGCTACGTATGTGTTGTAAAAAAGAACTCAATTCAAAATACATTTATATAGGTATGTTAAAAATAGAAAAATATATGCCATGTGAACACTAACCAAAAGGAAGCGAGAATAGTTATATTACTATCAGACAAAGTAGACTTCAGAGCAAAGAAAATTACTGGAGATAAAGAAGGGCATTATAAAATGTGTGAATCATAACCTGATAGAATTGAAAAGAGAAACAGACAAATCTACAATTATATTTGGAAACATCAATACTCCTCTCTCAGTGATGGATGGAAGTAGTAAACAGAAAATCAGCAAAAATATAGAAAAATTGAACCATACCATCAACCCAACCGTACCTAATAGGTATTTATAAAATACTCCACCCAACAATAGCAGAATACATACTCTTTAAAATGTACATGGCACAGCACATTCATCAAAACATAATCCAGCCTAAAAAAAGAATTGAAATCATATAAAATATGCTCTCTAATCATAATAGAATAAACTTAGAAATAAATAAAAGTAAAATCTCCAAACATTTATAAACATTATACTTCTAAGTAATCCATGGGTCAAAGAGGAAGCCAAAAGGAAAAAATATTTTGAACTGAATGAAAATGAAAACACAACATATGAAAATTTGTGGAATAGGATTCAGCTAAAGCAATCCTTAGAGGGAAATTTATATTTATAACATGAAATATTGACATTAAAAAAGAAGAAAGTTCTCACGTCACTGATCTTTAAGAAGCTAAAAAGTTAATAACAATAAAATAAACCCAAATCAAGCAGAAGGAAGAAAATTTTTAAAAGCTAGGAGCAGAAATGAATGAAATTGAAAACAGAAATCAATAGAGAAAAATTAATGAAACAAAAAACTGGTTCTTTAAGACCAATGAAATTCACAAATCTCTTGCAAGATTACGAAGAAAAGACACAATTTACCATATCAGGAATGAAAGAGAAGATATCACTACAAATGCAATGGTATTCTAAAAATAAGGAAATACTACGAACAACTCAACACACATAAATATGACAACCTATGTGAAATAGACTAATTCCTCAAAACCAAACCATCAAAACTCACATAAGCAAATTTAAATAACCTGAAGAATCCTATACCTGTAAAGAAATTAAATTCATAGTTTAAAACCTCTCAAAAAATTTTCCAAGCCCAGATGGTTACACTGTCAAATTCTATCAATCATTTTAAGGTGAATTAATACCAATTCTACACAAATTCTTTCCAGAAAATAGAAGAGGAGAGAACATTTACCAATTTATTTTTATAAAATCAGCATTATTGATACCAAAGCCAGACAAAGACAGGACAAGAAAAAACCATACAATATCTGCCTTGGACCTTGACACAAAAATCTTCAACAAAATATTAACAAATTGAATCCATCAGTATATAAAAATATTATACACCATGCCAAAATGAGGTTTATCTTGAAAATGCAAAGCTGGATCAATATTCAAAAGATCAATCAATGTAATCCACCATATTACTACAGTAAAGAGGAAAAGCTACATGACCATACCACTTGATACAGAAAAAGCATTTAACAGGCTGGGTTTGGTGGCTCATGCTTGTAATCCCAGCACTTTGGGAGGCTAAGGCAGGCAGATCACCTGAGGTCAGGAGTTCGAGAGCAGCCTGGCAAACATGGTGAAACCCTATCTCTACAAAAATTAGCCGGGTGTGGTGGCACATGACTGTAGTCCCAGCTACTCAGAAGGATGAAGCAGAATTGCTTGAACCTAGGAGGCGGAGGTGGCAGTGAGCTGAGATCATGCCACTGCACTCCAGCCTGGGCTACAGAGCAAGACTCTATCAAAAAAAAAAAAAAAAAAAAGGAAAGAAAGAAAGAGAGAGAGAAAGAACATTTGACAGACTTCAACATCCATTCAGATTAAAAAAAAAAAATTCTCAGCAGACGAGGGTAGAAGGGGATTTCACAACCTCATAAAGGTCATGTACAAAAAGCCAACATCTAATATATTATGTGGTGAAAGACTGAATTCTACCCATTAAGGTCAGGAACAAGGTAAGAATGTCTTCACTCACCATTGCTATTTGACATTATATTGGAATTTCATTCAGTGTAATAAGGCAAGAAGATAAAAGACATACAGATAGGGAAAGAAGAAATAAAAATGTCTCTATTTGCAGATGACATGATTGTTTACATAGGAAACCAAATAAGTGATTTAAAAAAAACCTCCTAGAACTGACTTTAGTAAGGTCAGAGGACAAAAGGTAAACACACATTCAAAATTTTACATCCATATACCAGCAATGAACAACTGGAAACTAATATTTTTTAAACAATACCATTTACAATAGCTCCAAAAATACTGAAATACTAAGGTACGAATTTAACAAAACATGAATAGAATATGTATGCTGAAAACTACAAAACATTAATGAAAGCAATCAAAGAAGATCTAACTATAAATAATGGAGAGATATACTATGTTCAGAACTGGAAGAATACCAGGTACTCAGGAGTCTGAGGGAGGAGAAGTGCTTGAGCCCAGGAGCTCTGGGCTGTAGTTCACTATGCAGCTTGGGTGTTGGCACTAAGTTTGGCATCAATATGGTGACCTCCTAGGGGTGGGGTACTCCAGGTTGTCTAAGGAGGGGTGGACCAGCCCAGGTAGAAAAGGGAGCAGGTCACAATTCCCATGCTGATAGTAGCACAATCATGCCTGTGAATAGCCACTGCATTCTAGCCTGGGTAACATAGCAAGACTCTCATCTCTGGAAAGAAAGAAAACTGAAGACTCAACCCATGACACTATAGTTTAATTCAATTCCACTAAATATCTCAACAGAACTCACAAAACAAATTTGTAAAATATAGCAAGCTGATCTTAAAATTAATACAATTTTAAATTGTATTTTAAATTTTATATAAATTATGATTTAAAATTTTTAAATATAGCAAGTTTATTCTAAAATATAGAAATTTAAAATCATTAGAAAAGTCAAAATAAGTTTGAAAAAGAAAAATAAGGTTGAAGAATCAAACTACCTGATTTTAGGTTGTACTATAAAGCTAGATTAATCAACATAATCTAGTATTGGTGAAAGGGTAGACACTTAAGATCAGTGGAACAGAATAAACAGCCCAGAAACAGTCCCACACAAACACGGCCCACTGCAGCCATATTTTTTTTTTTTTCTGAGATAGGATCTCACTCTGTTGCCCAGGCTGGAGTGCAATGGTACAGTTATGGCCCACTGCAGCCTCAAACTCGTGGGCTCAAGTGATCATCCCACCTCAGCTTCCCAAGTAGCTGGGACTACATGCATGGGTCACCATACCCTGATAATTCTTTTTTAATTTTTTGTAGAGATGGGGGTCTTGTTATGTTGCCTGGTGTGGGGGTGCTGAAGCAGGAGGATCACTTGAGCCTAGGAGGTGGAGGCTGCAGTGGTCATTGTCACTCTACTCCAGCCTGGGTGAGAGAGCAAGACCCTGTCAAAAAAAAAAAAAAAAAAAGCCATAACAATCTATGTAACAGAAAAATTTGGGAACAGAGCATAATGAGTACGAATACAGGTTCTAGAATTAGATAGCCCAGGTACAATCCTGGCTTTAGGACTTACTATTTGACCTTGAATGAGTTACTTAACTTCTCTGTGCCTCAGTTTCCTTATCTGAGAATAATTATAGTACTTACTACAGGTTTATGAGAATTACATGAGTTGATATATGCAAAGCACCTAGAACAGTAGCTGGTATATATTAAATACTATATAAAGTGTTTGTTAAATAAAATGCACCAGGTTCTTAACCACTTGTCAGTCACAGTAACTTATGGGTATGCCATACGACATTATAACTGATTAAATAGCCAAATTATATTTGTTGTATCATAGGGAATTTAACATTTATTGATAAATATGATACAAGTTAAATTGTAAGGCCCTGCACTTGAGTCTCTCCCTCAAAATTGTGACTGGTACAGCATGGAGGACCCAAACTCTAGTGAAGAATAGGCTTTATGAACAACAAATTCAGTAGGTATCAAAAGGGTGGTTACTAGCAAAAGGAAGATAGTTTGATCCTAAATTGTGATGAGAAATCTATAGTATCTACACTGGTCACACCACTCTTGAAGCATATATTCCATTCTAGTTTCACACTTAATTTAGTTACGTAGACTTAATCTGTGCAGCCTCACTGGCAAGAATGAGAATCGTGGATAAAAGTTCTAGGGGAAAATATTTAGGCTCAGTAAAGGGAAGACGTAACACTGAAGGGTTCTCTGAACATGGGATGACAACTGAAGCAGTTAGTGAATCCTATGTCACCAGAATGTTTAAATAAGTTCAATGACCACTTGGTGAGATAATTATGATGACAACAAACACAGTCATTTCTAAAATGTTTATGGTGTCTGTCCTAGTTCCTTTACGTAGCTTATCTCCAATCCTCTCCCCAACTCTATAATGTAGACACTATCCCTTTTTTATACATGAGAAAACCAAGGCTCAGAGAGGTTAAATAAATCACCCGAAATGTGCTGTCATTAAGTGGTAAAGCTGTGATTTGATCCAGGACATCTAATTCCACAGCAAACATTCTTTCTAATCCAAACTGCCTTTGGTCAAAGACTCAATAACATTCAGTATTCCTTTTAATCCTGAGAGTCTGTGATTTATTGAAATTATATCTTTCTAAATATAGATATAGATCTTCCCTAGCCATTTCTATGCACTGGAACAGGTGTCTTTCTCAAGAAAAAAGAGGCATCATTCTTAAATTTGAAGTTGGTTTGTTACTTCTATGAGGGAAGTGTTACAAGCCAACACACTATTTACTATGTTAATAGACAATGGAATTAACAATAAATTGGATTATGCTGAATAGGTAAGGAGTTTCTTACTCCTGAATTTACTTTCTAGAGAGTGGTATTTAAAAAAGAGGTAAAATGTTATTATTCTTGATAAAAGTAGTAAATGAAAACACAAATAGAGATAAATCTATGTCCTTACTGCTCTACTCTCCCCTTAGCTAATTCTCAGTTAAACATGATTCATTCAGCACCATAAGACAGGGGGGAAAAAAACATGATTCATAAGAATCTATGTGAGTGTTTCAGAATTTGTTACAGTAATCTCTCACCAACTGAGAGTGGGGATGATTACATTCCTAAAAGGTGCCATGTTAGGTAAAACCTCCATTGGCAAAATTCAAGAAAATATGGAACTTGTAAGATAGTAAAGCAATAAAGTTGGTCATAAAGCAGAAAAGAATCTTCTCCTTCAGCTGTTCATGAGCTCATATTCTGAAAAATCATGATTGGTGTGAAAGATAGGATGTATTTATATTAACCACACTTCCTTTCACAGCTTTTGATCTGGCCCTTACTATACTGCTATTTCATGCTGCTTGCATTTGCTTTCCCACTGGTATATCACATTTGCAAGCCTTGGCAACATTCTTAATGGTCAGCTGATCCTTCCACAAATGAAGGGCATGATTTTTCTTTAGGCCCAGTGTCCTGCTGTTACTCCCCATATGTGGAGGGTTGGGGGTAGAGGCAACATTTGACCCTTCCTTTCATAAAATATTTCTCTGCAGTATGTGATGCTGTTTGATAGCATTTTACCCAGAGCAGAACTTCTTTCAAGATTGCAGTAAATTTTCTCAAACACTGCCACTGCTTTATCAGCTAATATTCTAAATCCTTTGTTATTTCAACAATGTTCACATTATCTTCACCAGGTGTAGATTCCATCTCAAGGAACCACTTTCTTTGCTCATTCATAAGAAGCAGCTCATCAAGTTTTATCAGGGGATGGCAGCAATTCAGTCACATCTTCAGACTCCACTTCTAATTTTAGTTCTCTTGCTATTTATACCACATCTGCAGTGACTTCTCCACTCAAGTCTTGAACTCCTAGAAATCATGTAGGAGGGTTGGACCAACTTCTTCCAAACACTTGTTAATGTTAATATTTTGACCTCCCATGAATTTTGAATATTCTCAATGGCATTTAGAATGGTGAATCCTGGCCGGGCGAGGTGGCTCATGCCTGTAATCCCAGCACTTTGGGAGGCTGAGGTCGGCAGATCATGAGGTCAGGAGATCAAGACCATCCTGGCCAACATGGTGAAACCCTGTCTCTACTAAAATACAAAAAATTAGCTGGGCATCGTGGCACGTGCCTGTAGTCCCAACTACTCAGGAGGCTGAGGCAGGAGAATTGCTTGAACCCGGGAGGAAGAGGTTGCAGTGAGCCAAGATCACGCCACTACACTCCAGCCTGGGAGACAGAGTGAGACTCCATCTCATAATAAATAAATAAATAAATAAATAAATAAATAAATAATAAATAAAATAATGAATCCCTCCAGAAGTTTCTCAATTTACTGTCCCCAGATTCCCCATCAGCAGAATCACTATCTATGGTAGCTATAGCCTTATAAAATGTATTTCTCTAGTAATAAGACTTGAAAGTTGAAGTTACTCTTTGATCCATGGACTGCAGAATGGATGATGTGTTAGTAGGCATGTAAACAACATTCTGCTGTACATCTCCATCAGAGCTCTTGAGTGACCAGGTGCATTGTCAATGAGCAGTTAACATCTTGAAATGAATCATTTATTTCTGAACAGTAGGTCTCAATAGTGAACTTAAAATATTCAGAAAACCATGCTGTAAAAAGATGTGCTGTCATCCCAGCTTTGTTGTTCCATTTATAAAGCACAGGCAGAGTAGATACAGAGTAACTCTTAAGTCCCTAGGATTTTCAGAATGACCAATGAGCATTGGTTTCAACTTAAAGTCATCAGTTGCATTAGCTCCTAACAAGAGAGTCAGCCTGTTTTTGAAGCTTTAAAGCCAGGCATCGACTTGTCTTCACTAGCTATAAAAGTCCCAGATGGCATTTTCTTCCAATAAAAGGCTGTTTTGTCTACATTGAAAATCTGTGTTTAGTGTAGCCACCTTCATCAATGATCTTAGCTAGATCTTCTGGGTAAATTACTGCAGCTTCTCCATTAGCACTTGCTGCTTCACCTTGCACTTACATGTTATGAAGATAGCTTCCTTCCTTAAACCTCATGAACTAACCTCTGCTAGCTTCAAATCCTTCTTCTACAGCTTCCTTGCCTCTCTTAACCTTCACAGAATTGAAGAGAGGGACTTGCTCTGAATTAGGCTGTAGGAATGTGGTTGGTTAGATCTTCTACCCAGACCATCTAAAACTTTCTCCATGTCAGCCATTAGGATGTTTCTGCTTTCTTATCATGCATTTATTCACTGGAGTAACACTTTGAATTTCCTTTAAGAACTTTTCTAGGCCAGACACAGTTGCTGATGCGTGTAATTCCAACATTTTGGGAGGCCAATATGGGAGGATGCTTGAGACCAGGAGTTTGAAACCAGCCTGGGGAATAAAATGAGACCCCATCTCTGCAAAAAATTAAAAAAAAAAAATTAGCCAGGCTCAGTGGTGTGCGCCTGTAGTACAAGCTACTTGGGAGGTTGAGGTGGGATGATTGCTTGAGCCTGGGAATTTGAGGCCACAGTGAGCTATGATCATGCCACTGCCCTCAAGCCTGGGCAACAGAGTAAGACCCCGTCTCTTAAAACCAATAAACGAACAACCAAAAAAAACCACTTTTCCTTTGCATTCACCACTTGGCTAATTGTCTGACTCAAGAGGCCTAGCTTTTGGTCTATTTCAGCTTTCAACATACCTTTTTTCACTAAGCTTAATCATTTCTAGCTTTTGATTTAAAGTGAGAGATGTGTGACTCTTCCTTTCACTTAAACATTTAAAGGCCACTGTAGGGTTATTAATTGGCCTAATTTCAATATTGTTGTGTCTCAGGGAAAAGCAAGCCCTGAGGAGAGGGATAGGGACAGGAGAATGACTGGTTGGTAGAGCAGTCAGAACACAACATTTATTAATTTCACTGCCTTACATGGCTGTGGTCTGTGGTGCCCAGAACAATCACAATAGTAACATCAAAGATCCACTGATCACAGATCACCGTAACAGATATAATAATTTAAATGTTTGAAATATTGCAAGAATTACCAAAATGAGACAGAGACACAAAGTGAGTACATGCTGTTGGAAAAATGGCACTGACACACTAGCTAGATGCAGGGTTGCCACACACCTTCCATTTGTAAAAATCATAATATCTGCAAAGCACAATAAAGGGAAGCATAATAAAATGAGGTATGCCTGTATTTTCATTTCAGAGGAGGAAACCCAGAAAGGCTACCTGACGTGTGACAGGCCACGGAGCTGGTACCTCTCATTGAGTACTGTCATAATTTAGAATTTCTCAAATACTGCATAAATACTGAAACAGAATTTTATTAAATTATTAAATATTTAGCATTATGACATTATATAAATAGTATCATGATATTTAGTAACAGTAAATAATGGTATATTAAATACTGAATAAAACAGCCATAATCTGCATCCTGCATGCTTCAAACTACTTTGGCAGAGACTATATTTGTTCTTCACCTACCTGGCACTCTATGCTTGATAAATTTCCTGTGTTGGGTTCAGAAACAGATTTTGAGAATGATAATTAAAATGAAGTATCATGGACCCCATCTTCCTGTAGAATGAGGAGGAAATGGGGTAACACTAGAGAGACTTTTAGTTGTCTTCTCTTTTTGGCCTATGAGTGTGTGTTCAGGTGCTGCAAATCCTTCTGATTGATTCAACTGAAGAAATATGATTAGTCATCAAAAATAAGACAAAATATGATCACTGTATTTCATGGCTTTAGACATCATTCATTTAAACTCTTTCACCTGTTTATTTCCAAGAGTCCCAAGGAAGGGGTGAGAGAGGGACAGAAGAGGTTTCTTAAATACTAGCCTGTGAGGACACTATGATGACTATATATGGAAAGCTAGTTTATGTAACATAAGTAGGATTAAGTGATGGAGGGACTGTAATGTGGAAGGTGGCACACGGTCCAGCCAGAGGTTCAAGAATATCTGGACAGAATTCTAAACCTGCTTTTAGCCAGCCAAGAATTATTAGCATTTCTTCAGCTTTTTACAAAACACTATAGAAGAAGAAAACATGATTGGGGAGTTAGCCTCTTTGTCTACTCTCCTTTACTCTCCCCTTTTCTGATCTCTCATTAACCTGAGAACTCAGAAGGCACAAAGAAATGGGTAGGGGCATGCCTCTGGCACTGGGCCTTACTTGGACATTCAAAGGTTTCAGAATTGCTGATATTTCAACTGAATAAGCAGCAGGCTAGAAAGTAGAAAGGTTTGTGAAATCTATCAGGTATACTATTTTGAAGTTGAATGAGACTTTCATCCCTGCCAATTTAGTATACTTAGTTTCCTGTGCTTCTATAAAACAAGTTATAGGCTTTGCTTTCTTTTTCCCCTTTGTTGTTGTTGTTGCTGCTGCTGCTGTTTTCTGGTTCCAGAAACAATGACAATAAAAGGGGAAGATGGGAGATTTTTAACATCAGCTTGCCAGTGAACTGCTGCTGGGCCCCTCTAGGTGAAAGAAGGCCTAGTAGATATTTCATCCTTAAACACGTAAAATCAGCCAGCTTTGCCCTGGCCTTTGGAAGAAGTGCATTCAGTGTCTGGACAGGATATATCATTTCTTCTGCTCAGTAAAGCTCCCTCAACTTTGGGAATGTTTCTATTAATTACCCATAGTAAATTAAACAAAAAAATGTGTTGTACTTGGCTGGGCATGGTGGCTCCTACCTGTAATCCCAGTGCTTTGGGAGGCCAAGCTGGGAGGATTGCTTAAGCCGAGGAGTTTGAGGCTGCAGTGAGCTATGATCCAGACACTGCACTCCAACCTGGGCAACAGAGCGAGACCCTGTCTCTAAAAGTTAAAAAAAAAAAGTGTTGTGCTCAAATGAATTAAATTTTATATGTAGAATAACAGCTCTGACGCTGTGGTTGTCCCTGAGGTTAATAGGAAGGTTAGGATTTGTGGCTGGGCACGGTGGCTCATGCCTGTAATCCCAGTACTTTGGGAGGCCGAGGTGGGCGGATCATGAGGTCAGGAGATCGAGACCATCCTGGCTAACACGGTGAAACCCCGTCTCTACTAAAAATACAAAAAATTAGCCGGGTGTGGTGGCGGGCGCCTGTAGTCTCAGCTACTCGGGAGGCTGAAGCAGGAGAATGGCGTGAACCTAGGAGGTGGAGGTTGCGGTGAGCCGAGATTGCGCCACTGCACTCCAGCCTGGGCGACTGAGCAAGACTCCATCTCAAAAAAAAAAAAAAAAAAAGGTTAAGATTTGCAGAGAAAAGATAAGACATGCAAAGTATTGACTTCTCAAATCTCAAGGCTTGTTCAGCGTCTCACTTTCATCTACTAAATTAATTTTTCTTGTGCAAAATCCACTCAGCAGTCTAAGTAAGGAAAAGTAAGCAAAAAATGAAGGAATGAAATATAGGGCAAACCTCTAACTTAAAATCAACAGCTGTAGGAGGACTTGCATTTTTATAAGATGTTTCAATCTTTAGAAATTCATAAAAGCAAAGAATGTATACTCAATAAATGATTGTTACTTGACAGATGGGAATAACAGCCAATATTAATGATGGTCTCTGAACTGAGAAATATCCATAATTTTCATGGATCGATAAATACGTTAAACTTTATTATCTTTGGGTCGTAGGGATGAAATCTTACAGGTTTTATATAACTATCATAAATGTTTTATAGACTACTGATCAGTAAGACTCAGCCAGAGGGGTGTATTAAGAATGGGAATGTGAGAACCAAGAGGTCAGCAGGACAGAGAGGCACAGCCTCTTCACAAGTCAGAGAAGATAAACATTTCAGACAAGATGCCATGGTTGAAAACTGAAGAGGTAAGGTCCTCATGCAAACACAGAGGAGATATGAAAAGATCATTGTCCTTACAGAATCTAGGAATGAGAGAATATCACCTCATCGTATAATGAAAATAACATCTGAGGTATTACACCAGCATGTTTACTGAGCACTTGCTAAGTGCCAGGCATTGAGCTCAGCACTGTACATGTATTGTCTCATTGAATTCTTAGTGCAAGTCCATGGCATGTGTACTGTTACTGTTCCCATATTAAATATAAGGAAACTGAGGCTTGAGAACATAAGTAACTTGTCCAAATTAACAGAGTCAGTATACAGTAGATCTTAAATTCAAACCCAGGTCTGTCAAGTTCACGTTCTTATACCCTATAGATACCAAGACTCCCCGATTGGACTAGTTTCTAATGGACACATCAGGATAGGGCAATCATATAATTATCATCAGTAAAATGGTTTGAATCGTATGTCATACCTTTGGACCACTTGTCTTTCCTCCCCCCTTCCCTTTTTTTTCCTCTTTAATCAGGTTAAATCTATACCTCTCCTATGTCCTAGGCATCCTCTTTTCTCTCTAGTCAGGTTAAATCTTGTTAAGCCTCTCCTATGTTCTAGGCATCCTCTTTTTTCAAGATGATAATATATTATAGGAGAATAAAGACTTCAACTATAATTCTGTGAGCTGAGTACTATGCCAGTGCTAACCAAAGTGAATTACGGGAACTAACAGAATGGACACAGAGTTTAGTGTACTTGTGCTTAGAAGATAAAAGACCTCAAATTATTCTTGTTCATTTTAGTTTCACATATGTTTCAAGGTTATCAGTTATTCTGGCTATTAGAGAAACGGGTGGGAGGAGGAAGGTTTTATGCGATCTTAATTTTTAAAATATTAAGTACCAGTACCTATTATTTTCTAAATACTTTCAAGGGCATTTTCCTAGAATCAGGTAAATGAGAGAAGGCAAGTGACCTACTTACAGCAAAAATTGCTCTAGGTTATAAAGGATGGGAAGCCAAGTGCATCCTGAAAACCACAGCATCTGGTCTTGTTTTATGCCTCATCTATCAATCTGTTGTTACAGGAATTGAGAATTAACATTTCAACTATTGTTTCTTCTATTTTAACTAATGCATTTGTATCTTTGTTATTCTTACTCAATCTTTCCCACCTCCTCCCCATTTAAGAAACCATAGGCAGGGGCATTATGAAGGTCCCAATTTAATCCTAGGGGGATCACTCTTTCATCTACGCCTTAAAACTTCTGCTAATGAGGCTACAGTAGGGTTAGACATCTGAAGCAATTCTGGTTTTGTTCAATCCTGATTTTTCACAGATAGTATCATTTGAACAGTACTGTATTAAAGCTAAATAAAATATTGTAGGTTGTAAATTTCCAAGTTCTAGAAAACATTTTTTGGTAGAAGTTTTTAAAAAGTACACTTGGCAATGCTGCTTGAGAAAAAGGTTACGTAGAAATGCAGATTGTGGATTAGTATTACCCTGATAACACAAGAAAATTATATATAACTTCTTTTTATATACACTCATTTAAAATTATGTGTAAAGTTTAAAAACATAAAACCATGGAAAGTAGATTTACAGCAATATGTTCTTTGAACTTTGCTGTTGTCTTTTTTTTTTTTTAGTTCTCTTCTTTTTACAGAATGGAGTTATCAATTCATCTTTCTACTTCTTCCAATCTTTTGAAATTTTAAATTTCCATTATTTTTTCCTTGATTCTATCTTATTCTTTCTTATTTTTATTTTTTAGTTTAGCTTTTTTTTCATTTTTTAAAAAAGTTTATGGGTACATAGTAGGTGTGTGTATCTATGGATTACATGATATATGCTGATACAGGCATACAATGTGTTATAATCACATCAGGGTAAATGAGGTATCCATTACCTCAAGCATTTATCATTTCTTTGTTACAGACATTCCAATTATACTCTTTTAGTTATTTAAAAATGCACAATAAATTACTGTTGACTGTAGTCACCTTGCTGTGTTGTCAAATACTAGATCTTATTTTTTCTATCTAACTGTATTTTTGTACCCATTACCATTCTCACTTCCCTCCTACCCCCCACCACTATTCTTCCCAGCCTCTGATAACCATCATTCTACCCTCTATCTCCATGAGTTCAACTGTTTTAATTTTTAGCTCCCACAAATGAGTGAGAACATGCAAAGTTTGTCTTTCTGTGCCTGGCTTATTTCACTCAACATAATGTCCTACAGTTCTGTCCATGTTGTTGCAAATGACAGGATCTCATTTTTTTAAATGGCTGAATAGTACTCCATTGTGTTCTATATTATCTTTCTATTGGAGCTTCAAGTACAGCTTCAGGTATAGCTTCATATTCTTGCTTTACTTTTCTTTCTCCATCCATTCTACTTAATTTACCTTGTCAAAATAATGGTTCATATGATTCAGAAGACATGATTTAAAAAATTAAAAAATAATGATTGAAATTATCCTTTTATGATATTTTTAAAAGAACAAAGGTAACCAAGTGAATTATACTGGCATAATTACTGTTATATAATTTTACCTATTTGTTGAAGTTCTATTCTTTCTAAATCATTGTCAAGTGAATTACTTCTAATGAGCAATGAATAGAGTCAGGTTTACTGTGTTTACTTATTCAAAGATTTCAGATTTGTTTTTCCTTCCAAAGGCGTTCTATCCTGAATCTCATCATGAGGCTTCCTTGCCTTGATTTCTTGATGTATTCCAGCTGGGTTAATGGTTCAGCTGACCAGATAGGCCTTTTAGGCTAAGGTAGTAGAGATTTTTGCAAAAATACATCTACAGTCTTCATTCACTAGGGCAGAATTTCTCAAAATAGAGTCCAAAACTACCTATATCCCAATCAGCTCAGATGTTTGTTTACTGATTTACTGATAGGCTTAAACAACAGAAATTTATTTCTCCCAGTTCTGGAGGGTGGGAAATCCAATATACTGGCATATACTCTGTCTGGTGAGGGTATCCTTCCTGGCTTGCAGACAGACACCTTCCTGCATCCTCACATGGCGGAGAGCCCAGATGCTTACTGTAAAATGCAGATTTCTAGGCCAAAACCTACAGTAGTTGAACGGGAGTCTCTGAAGACTGGGAGCCAGGAATCTGCATTTTGCCAAGTTGTCCAAGTTAATCTATATACAGTGAAATTTGAGAACACCTAATTTTTTTTTTTGAGATGGAATCTCACTCTGTTGTCCAGGCTGGAGTGCAGTGGCATGATCTTGGCTCACTGCAACCTCTGCCTCCTGGATTCAAGTGATTCTCCTGCCTCAGCCTCCCAAGTAACTGGGATTACAGGTGCCCGCCACCACACCCAGCTAATTTTTGTATTTTTTTTTAGTAGAAACAAGGTTTCACCATGTTGGCCAGGCTGGTCTTGAACTCCTCACCTCAGGTGATCCACCTGCCTCGGCCTCCCAAAGTGCTGGGATTACAAGCGTGAGCCACTGCGCCCAGCCAAGAACACCTAATTTAAGGAATCCTTTCTTCCCACCAGGTGTCTAGTGCATTAACCTTGATTGCAGAGCAAACTAGCTACACTCCATTTAATAACAAAAGTGGAAAATTCAGCACCTTGGAGGAGAACTGCCATAACTATTTTAAGAGTTACTGATACAGAAAACACACACACACAAAACCCAAAAACTTTCTAGAATAAAGTAATAATTCTTTTTAATATCTTGATTCTAACAAAGAGCAAAGGCCCAGAAAGTCTACAGTCTGCTCTAATTTCCTGATTAATATTATATATATTGAATTATTTATTGAGCCCCTACTGTGGGCCAAATATGGTATTTTGTGTTGCCAGGGATTATATAAAGCTATCCTGGAATGAAAAGCATATGTTCACTCTGCTGTATTCTGGAAGAATCTCATTGATTTGATGATTGCTGAAAATGAATGTACTTGATGTCTTAGGCCCAGACATGGAAGGTTTCTTACGGATTTGCTAAATGAAAATATTAGGTCCAAAACATATAGGTGTAGGCATTTGGTTTCCAGTGGCTGAACCACTGGAAAGGGAGTGAGGTGTAGCACTTTTCGAGCTTGTAGACTCTTTATGGTCAGCCTCGTGACTTTATTCAACAGTTTCCCTTCCTGTGCAATCATCCCTCAAATATTAGGCAGATGAATTGAGACTAGATGTAACCATACTGGGAACTCCATTTCATTGTAGGATTCATTTAGGATGTCTCTAGTAGAGTGACTCATGATTTGCCTGAGACTTTGTCAGCCAGTTTTATATCCCAGCAAACCTTTTAGTCTCATGCAAACTGAAACTGGGTAGGCTGGTCACCCTGGTCCTTAGAAGAGGGCAGGTGAGGCTCTTAGTTGAACCAATTTCACTCAGTAAATGAATGAAAATCCATTACTATCTTGAATTTCTCAGCTCATTTTCCTTACCAGTGGATATAATTACCCTATTGGGGCACAAAACCTGTTTCTTGCCTTTAGTGACCCTCCCCCTTTTAGCCCTGCCAAACCATGTGTCCATGAGCCTCCCAAGCAATGATTCAGCTTGGGATCATCCAAGGACCCAGTGGAGAGTCTCTTGAAAGTCTGCTGAGCACTGATAGCCTCTGTTTTTTGTTGTTGTTGTTGTTGTTTGTTTTTAATGAACATTGTCCTCGTCTCATAATCTTTCCGTTCTTCTCAAAGGTCTATCTCTCTAAATAGTCTAGTAATCCCAAACCTAGCTTCACATCCATTTTTTTTTTAAATTAGGAATGTAGGCATGCACGTATATAAAGCCTTAAATACTAAACAGGCACGGGTGTATTCAATTCCATTCTGATTCCTGTCCATGAACTTAATCATAGTTTTCAACATTCATGCATCCCTTTCATCCCATCCTTTAAAGCCTTGTGATTTTGGCATTTCATGGTCTTACTTTCAACTAGATTTTAAAGTTTAGCTGGTATTAAATTACCATCTCAAAGAGAAAACGTAAAGTACAAGGTATGAATTAGACAGACCTATGTTCCAATGAAATTGTTGCCTTTATTTCCCAAGTATATGAACTTAGAAAAGTTTCTCTAAGGTTTAAGCTTTAAAATTTGCTCATTTGTAAAAACGGAGAAAATGATAGCTATTTTAGAGGATTTTGGGGGAGATATTTAGGTTATGCATGTAAAGCACATAGAAGCTTATTGCCCCACCCCAGCAGACATTAACTAGGTATTATCTTCACCACATTATTACAAGTTTGTAACTAGTAACATTCGTTAACAATCAGGCTGCAAAATTGTTATTATTATTGAGACAGGGGCTTGCTCTGTCGCCCAGGCTGGAGTGGAGTGGCTTGATCACTGCAGCCGTGATCTCCCACGCTCAAGCGATTCTCCCACCTCAGCCTCCCAAGTAGCTGGGACTACAGACATGCGCCACCAAATCCAGCTAATTTTTAGGTGGTTTTTTTTTTTTTTTTTTTTTTTTTTTTGTAGAGACGATTTCTCATTATGTTGTCCAGGCTGGTCTCGAATTCCTGACCTCAAGTGATCCTCTCGCTTCGGCCTCCCAAAGTGTTGGGATTACAGGCGTAAGCCACCGCGCTGGCCAAGCTGCAGAATTCTTTAGCCATCAAAGATGATGCCTCAAGTAGAAAGGCACAAGCTGCCTTCCTGAGGAACACAGGGAGAACTCTCATTACATCATAGTCTCACCGACTCTGTCTGAAGGAAGTGATGCTTCTCGTATCTCAGGAGTGTCTAATGTCATCTGGCCCACCGGCAGTTTGTGTATTCAGGAGGCTCTGGCTTTCAGGTTTGCTCCCTTGGGACCTCTTGTGTCACGTCGCTCGTTCTGGAAAGGAAAAGGGGTGAAAGAAAAAGGGAAATCACCAAAATGCAAAATCTGTTACCAGATGCCCTATTCCGTCCTAACTACCGAGTCTGGTGGCGTGGGCTGCTAAATCTTTTCGCGGAAAGATTGTCAGGCGCCACCCCGAGGTGTTTGTCAGCACAGAGATGGGGGAGAAGGGTGAGCTCACCCGAGAATTGAAAGGCAGGTGGTGAGGGATGAGGGGTGAGGAGTGGAGGGTGGCCATAAGCTTCTGCGTTTTGGCTAAAGTACAGACACAAAGCCGCGGCGTGAGGGTTTGCACAGAGTGGTGGGAAGGAGAGAATGTATTTGCTGGGTACGCAGAGCATTTCTGCACTCTCAAGAAGGCTGCCCGATTTGTCAGGGTTGCGCCCCGAGCCCGCGAGAAGGGCAGGGACTTTTTGTGATAAGCGCCTTCCCAAAGGTAGTGTCTGTTAAACGCAGAGCCTTAGCGAGTGCTGCTCGCAGACACGCCGGCTTCGCAGAAAGTCTCAGTCTAGCAGGTAGCTTAAGCAGACATCAGGTGCGCGAATTTGCTCTCCCTCACTGTTTCTAAGCCTGGGAGCACGCCCCCTCCGCGCCGGCGACCGCGGGTCGCGCATGCTCCGTGGGAGGGAGTGCGCCGCGCCTCCCGCCGGAAGCGTTCTCTCCCAGGTTGCGTTTCCTTCCTGTGTGAGGCCGGCTGAGGGCACTTGCTCTTGCTGTTTCTGCCCCTGGGTGAGTAGCTGGTTCCCGTGGGGCCTCATGGGATGGTTGTCGTATCCTTCTGAGGTCCTTTAAGGACCGTCTCGGACCTGGGAACCCCCGGAGGAAAGGTCACCCCGGTCTTCTCCCACGCCCTACCTCAGTGCCGCCCCCAAGCGCCCCGCAGCCCTTAGTATCTAGAGGATTAACCTCCAAGGGCGTCCCGGGCCTCGCCTTGGCGTCCGGCCCGGCCTGGGCCCTTAGGGTCTGCTTAGCTCTTCCCCAAGACTCGTGCCATTCCCGAGGGAATCTTTGTCGGCATCCTGGTCACTGTGGGGGTTTGAGGTCGTCCCGGAAGACTTCAGAACCAGGCGAACCTAGACGAAGGCGGCTGGAATGAACCAGGTCTGATTGTCGCACAGGCGCGGCCACCACCTTGTGCAAAATCGAAGGTGGTTCTTCAGGGCCGGGCACGCTTTCACAAAAGATGGTGATGTTAATAATAACCTGCCCTCTTTGTGAAGATTGGCAGGCCTTCATTGTCATAGGCTGTATTCGTAGGGCCTTTATGCCTGCAAAACTGGGACTTTTGAGTTTGAGAAACGATTTGTGAAATACTGCAATGAATTAGGAGAGAAATACTACAGTGAATGCTATGCTATGAATGCTATACATGTCAATAAATTGCTCATAGATGAGGTAGTACGATTTCACGGTTTTCCACTCGGAAATGGAGAACTTAAAATGAAACGACCTGATACCATATTTGCCTAACAAATAACTCTAGGTTATAGTGTTTTAGGATGTTTCTTAGTTGCATACAGCACTATCATCGTATATGTACATATTTGTGTATTCATTTTGTTGAACCTAATGTTTATACAGGATTGAAATACGCTCCCTGCTGTTGTATGCGCATGCAGCTTTTATTGTATGTTCGCTGGTGATGGTATTGCTGCTGTAACAGCCTTACATTTTAGGTATATCAATACCAAATGAATGATACATGAGTGTACAATAAAGTATATATAGTTACAGTCTACAAAACAAGTTTCAGTTTCATTGAAGGATTTTGAAGTAATTTAAAAAGGTAGACTACTATTTTACAAGTGGCCTTAGTAGACCTAAGTCTTTATTACATTAAAAATTTCAGAATTGGGAAGGATATAAACGGGTTTTGTGTGTTGACCTTTTATGGGATTAAAAGTTGTTACTATCTTGATGACTGGGATGTGTTCATAACAGCCCTAATTTGTTCATGTAGTTCAATGAATATCCAGTAGATGACTTGGTTGGTAGTTTTATCACTACCAACTCTAAAACGAAAACGTTTTACTGGAATGCCACCGCTTTTCACAGATTAGGTTAATAAAACCCTTATCTTGTCTAAATTATTTTCCTCTGTGAGTATACCCCACGTAGTGATATAACACGTTTCAACTGCATTTTCAACTTTGTGGAATAAAGACTAGAAAAGTCAGTTTTTTACTTCCTATGAGAAGTGAAATATTGTGTAACCCGTTTTTTTTGGAATCCATGCTGATGGAAGATAGCACACTTTGGTTTGTTCCATGAAGAGAGATTTCAGTTAGGTGCCTTCTCCTTTTTGGCTTCTTTTGCTTTCTTTATAATTAATATAATAGCCGGACAGTGTGTTCTTTGAATGAAGTGGTGATATCTTAACAATTATTGTATATCCAATATATAGTGGGCGTCATATATAGATGTTCAGTAAATGCAAATTGAATGAATTAAATCATTTACCATCCCTAGGCCAAAGTTTCTTCCTCCAAAATGAAGGCTTTCAATTATTTAGTTGTTAAGTTTAAATTAAATCTAATTATTGTGAAGTGAATGGCTCCTAGTGGAGAAATGTGGAACCTTTTGGAAATCCTTCAGAAGTGACTGTTGCAATGATTGAATGGGAGATTTCCTTCAGTTACAATTTATCTGTTGAACATAATTTTTGAATAGCCTCTGTTTTGTGTGTGGCAATTATAAACGTCTGTTTTGTGTGTGACAGTTATAAAGGTAGATAAGATATACATCTTGTTTATAAGGATTTAAACTCTAGTCGAGTAGATATCTCAAAAGCAAGACTTTTTTAAGATAGTGTAATAGGGCGAAATGAATAATACGAAGATTCATGTGATTTGAAAGGCTTTATGGAGCAAATAAAGTTGATTTTTGAAGTTAGGATAGAATTTGACTAATCCTAGGTGAATGAGGGTAAATGGCCCATGCAGGATACTAGACAGATACGCTGAAGGGAAAATATATGTGGGATTTTCAGATGGTAGTGACTCCAGCTATTTATAGAGTCCCTTTGAAAAGAGGTGAAAGAGAAAATGCTTACAATTGACTCTGGAGCTAGATTCTAGATTAGAATAGTTTTGAATGCTTGGGAAACGTATAAAGGAAATACTTTGGGGTCTTTTGATTAGAGAGAAGGAGTATATATCCTTGAGTGGAGGTGAGGGGTATAAAAGGAAATAAAAAATTTTTGGAGCTATTCTAGAGGGAGGAAGGTGAAGAGGCTCTTTAATTTAGTAGTAGTGAGAGGAGAATTTTAGAGCTGGAAGGACCATGGATATTAATCTTTGCAGTACCTAACTTTTATCTGCTGAGCCATACAAATTCTGTTTTTTTTCATGTTTATGTAAGTACAAATATATATTCTCTTTTTCTTATATATCCCATAGCATTCAGCACACTCCTGTGCTGAGAGTATAATGGCAGTATTTGAAGCTAAGATCCTATCTCCCAAAATGTGATAGTCATATCATCCCTAACAAGCTTATTCTTCCGGGTAGTTATTGCCATTGACAGAGGAGTGTATGTCTTCTGTAAGCCTAGCTTTGATTGATGTAGCTGTTCAGGGATATATGCAAAAATAGGCACATTTATCTCATTTTTTTTCTCTTTAGCTTGGGTGAGTGCTGTATTCTTGTAGTAGTTGTCTCAGTTCAAGATTTTTCCAAGTTCTATTGCTTCCTACTTAGCCCGGTTGTTGGGAACAATAGTGTGGCTCAAAAAAGTTAATACCACTTATTACTGAGGAAATGGCATGTTTAAATTTAAGCAGGCCTTGAAAACCTTTAAAAGTATGTATGAGGAAAAAGTGAGTCAGTTCACAATTTGAATTTCACTCAAAAATTACCTGGTATATGATACAGTTAATAGAAGAAATTCTTACCGTCACATTAGTATTGTTGGGCTGCCTTTCTTCAGTTGGATTAGTGTTATAGTTGATACTTTCCTAGACTCTGAAATAGTTCTTTAAAGCTGTTTTGAGTAAATACCTTAAGATATTTACTGTATTTTTCAAATAAAATGATTAATTCTACTACCAAATAAATCTTAATTTCTAGTCTACTTCTAGTTTGCAAGAGGAGCTTTAAATGTATTTGTTTACTTAACATTTAAAAATCCATTTCTCCTTAAAATGAAACACTTTTTTTAAGGTAGGTAATATTTTAATTTGACTAGAAGTTAGTTTTTCTTTCTTAGTTTAAGCTACTTTGTTAGTCTTACAATTTTAATAAGTATAGTTATTACCTAGTGACATTTCTGTTTGTTTTTTTAAGGTTAACATTCAAGATGGTACATGCTGAAGCCTTTTCTCGTCCTTTGAGTCGGAATGAAGTTGTTGGTTTAATTTTCCGTTTGACAATATTTGGTGCAGTGACATACTTTACTATCAAATGGATGGTAGATGCAATTGATCCAACCAGAAAGCAAAAAGTAGAAGCTCAGAAACAGGTATGATTGAAATGTTTGAAGATCATTTTTCTTGTGGCTAACAAGTATTTTCCCCTCAAACTAAAAATTTGGTAGAGTTCACAAATTAATGAGAAATTCTATAAGACCCACATGAAAATGTATTGGTACTCATAGTTTTATTACTCTTACAAAGTACTAGTTTATTATGACATTATTTCAAGTCATTTTTTACTATATAAACAACTTATCAGAAGAAAAATGAATAAACAATAAAATATTGTGAACATCTTCATTAGAATATTTTTGTCAGCTTTGGAGGTAGGATCTAGATAAAAGTTTTTAGGCTAACCCAAAATATTTATCTTCAGTAATGATATGCCTTTTGCTGTGTATGACATCTGAAATGTGGATAATACTGAAACGCTCTCAGTCTTAAACTTATAAGCTACACTAAAATCTAATTAATGAATTGCTGTAAAAGTTGTTGATTATTAATATAAGCTGTAGTTTTTAACTTTTTATCTGCTGCCTCTTGTGTTCATTTCCTTTTAAAGGTGATTGGTTTCTGTTTGTCATCAAAACATAAAAACCTTAAAGGAGTCTTACAGATTTTTTGTGCTGTTAGGTGGCTTTTCCCTTCTGGCTCTTTTTTTTTAAACAATAATTAATAACTAAAATATTTATGTCTTATTGAATATCTTATGGTATAATAACATAATTTATCTTAAAATAATTAAATAGGATATTCATGGATTTTTAGATCTGTCTTGTGAGTTGTGACAGATTTATTCAATAAACATTTATTGAGTCCCTATCAACTACTTGGTACCAAAGAAAAAAGATGAATAAATCTTGTTCTTTCAAAATGCTATAGGCTATTGTGGGAAATAGGGATGTAAATAAATGACTGTTTTACAATGTTAGCCCTTAAATCAGTAAAAAGTGAAAACCACAATTTTATAAACACTGCAATAAGTATATATCTGAAAGGCACTTTGGAGAATTCTGAACTTTTTCCTTGAATTTTATTATAAAATAGTTGACTGAAGTTCTAGATGATATTATCAGCCTATTTGTAAGTCTCTGGGAAGTCTGACCAGGGTAGATTTAAAAAAAAAAAAAAAGAAAAACTAGTTTGAGTATATCCATATGTCAACCTAAGTGTTGGGTTTTTTTCTCCCACCTGAATCATGAAAGTCAGTTTAAGTATGATGTCAAAATATTATAAGTTACATCGTTTCAGCATTTTAAAAAGCAGAGGTGTGACTTTTAAAGATAATTTTGTCTTTTTTTCCCCTTGGCTTCTAAGAACTCCTGAATACACATATAGAAGACATACAGAAAGCTAAATATAGATGCTAAGTACTACAAGCCTTCATTGAAAATTATGTGTATAGTATTATTCTAAATATTAGGTATATGAAACATTAGATATTATGTCCTTCATAGTGCCCATGATAGGGAGAAAAGACTTGTTCATGATAATATAAATTATAATAGTAAGTAGCATATCCCAGTTGCTTATTGAGTAGTGTAGACAGAAACTGTGGCTCTTAGAGAAAATAGTAGTCACCAGTGATTGTGGTAGTTGAAGATGGCTTCATGAAAGAGCTTGGCCTCTAGGGTAGGCAAGGACAGTTTTAAATAGAATGCATTACTTTTTCCTTCTTTGGTCCTTTTTGTTTTGTTGGGTGGACTGAGGCTGATAAAAAATACACAGCATTTTAGAATCCATCATCAACTGAAAAGGAGGGATACTTTTTGCTTCTAGCATTATCCCATTCCACAGTAATTTACCAGTGTTTAAAACACTCAGGATGAAATGGGATTTGCTTGGCCAACGGCTATAGCTTCTTGGTTACCCCTCCTCTTCTCTTCCCTACATCTCTGACCAGCTGTTAAACATGCTGTTGACTGGCCATGTGGTGGCTCACGCCTATAATCCCAGCACTTTGGGAGGCCGAGACAGGCAGATCACTTGAGGTCAGGAGTTGGAGATCAGCCTGGCCAACATGGTGAAACCCCATCTCTAATAAAAATACAAAACATTAGCCGGACGTAGTGGTGCACACCCAGCTACTCGGGAGGTTGAGAATTGCTTGAACCCGGGAGGCAGAGGTTGCAGTGAGCCAAGATCACACCCCTGCACTCCAGCCTGGGCAACAGAGAGAGACTCCATCTCAAAAATAAATAAATAAATAAATATGCTGTTGACCAATTGAAGACTTCTGTAGGCTTAACTCATTAAATATATTTGAATGGGTGGGTGATATACAATGTTTTAAGGATAATTCACCTTATAGTAGTATGCAGAAGGAATAGGAGTCAAGAGGTACTAGAAGCAAGATCTGTTGGTGATAGACTGCAACAGTCCTGGCAAAGACTTAGAATAAGAGGGTGACAAAAGGAATGACTTGAGTGAAATAGACTAACACAAATGAATGCAGGAAGGACTTTGTGATGATGTGGGAAAAGAAAAAGGACATCTTAAAATCTTAAAAACGAACCAAAGATTTGTCTGGATACCTCAAAGACTTATAATATCTTTTATAGAGGTTTGGAAACTGGTAGGTAGGGCAAATTTATGAGAAGATGACATTTGATCTGGCCATGTTGGGTTTGTGTTGGTGGTAGGAATTCAGGAGGAAATGTTCATATAGCAATTGAAGTTGCAGGTCTGAATCTCAGAAAAAAGGTCAATCCAGAGGTATATTTCCTTATCGATGGTTATAAGTAGTTGAAGTCGTTAGAACAGTGAGTAGGCCATATGGTTATTCCTGTATGTGTAGATATCATTTGTAGAACTTTTCCCAAATTATTCCCCATCTCCCCTCACCACCATCAAGATTTATACATATATTTGTTGAGAAATTCTAATGTAATTGTCACTGTAATAAATGGTAATGACTATACTAAGAGTGATGAAGTCTCCAAAAGAGGTGGTGTAATGCAGCATAATTGGTAAGCTGAAGCGTAAGCCTTGATACATTTCCTTTATTTAGGGTATAGAAAGATGATGTGCAGCCAGTGAAGAATGAATAGGTCAGTATGGGTAACAAGACTGACTCCTGCTGAAAACAGCTAAAGAAGCTTGATAATTTTTTAAAAATCTTGTTTTATTTATTTATTTATTTATTTATTTTTGAGTTGGAGTCTTGCTGTGTTGCACAGGCTGGAGTGCAGTGGTACAATCTCAGCTCGCTGTACCCTGCTTCTTCCGGGTTCAAGTGATTCTCCTGCCTCAGCCTCCGGAGTAGCTGGGATTACAGAAGTGTGCAACCACACGTGGCTAATTTTTGTAGTTTTAGTAGAGACGGGGTTTCACCATGTTGACCAGGCTGGTCTTGAACTCCTGACCTCAAGTGATCTGCCCGCTTTGGCCTCCCAAAGTGCTGAGATTACAGGTGTGGGCCACTGTGTCTGGCCTAAAAATCTTAAAGGCATTCATGAGCTATCAACAAAGTAAAGAATGCAGGTTAAAAACTTAAGGCAAAAATTTCAGAAAGCTAAGGTGAGCTTGATTGCCAGCCTTTACCTTGAGAGAATTTGCTGAATTCTGTTTTTATGATTTCAGAGGGGCTCAGTATACAAAACATAGGGCCAATCTAAAGTAGGTAGTTTCATAGATGATACTCCTATAAATCTAGAACCCCAAAAGGCTATCTGTAGTATTTCAACTAAAGATAAAGACACAGTGTTTTAAAGATGAATAGTTTAAAGAGAGAAATTTAAGCCATATGCTGGGTGAAGTAACACATCTAAAATATAGATTCAGAAAGGTTGAAAGTAAAAAGATGGAAATGTATATACCACACAAATATAAGAAGAAAACTGGCTGGGCAAAAAGAAATTGTAAGGCAAAGATATTGGAGAAAATGTTTGCTACATAAATGATGAAAGATTCAATTCACCAATAAATATAACATTTCTATTTGTGTGTAACTATTGATGTAGCCTGAAAATACATAAAGCAAAAATATGATATAACTACAGGGAAAAATGGACATCTCCATCAACATGGTGAGAGACTTTTAACACCTAATAATTGTTCAGATTTTTTAAAAATTAAGGATATAGAAGATTTAAATAAAAAATGGACATGTATAGTATATTGTGCCAAAATAAATGCAAAATACATATCTGAAGCACATATGATTTGTGAAAATAAACCGAATACTAGATAATAAAGCAAATCTCAAGTTTCATAATATTGGTAGCGTATTTATTAACATTTCCTGGCTATAGTGCAGTACAGTAGAGATCATTAGAAAAATAAGTTTGGAAAGTATGAAATATTTTAAAATGACTCCTGGGTAAAAGAAAGCACATAATAATGAAATGAATGGAAATAATAACATAAGTTAATGAAATAGAAAGTGAATATACAGTAGAGAAAAATCAATAAAACCCAAAATTGTTTTTTTGAAAAGACATAAAATCAAGACTTTTCAAACCGACAAGAAAAAAGTTACCAATAAAATACTACCTGGAACAAAAAAGGCCTAATATTGCTGTAGATATTAAAAACAAGGGCCGGGCACGGTGGCTTACACCTGTAATCCTAGCACTTTGAGAGTCTGAGGCAGGTAGATCACCTGAGGTCAGGAGTTTGAGACCAGCCTGGCCAACATTGTGAAACCCTGTCTCTACTAAAAATACAAAATTAGCCGGGCGTGGTGGCATGTTCCTGTAGTCGCAGATACTCAGGAGGAGAATCGCTTGAATCCAGGAGGCGGGGGTTACAATGAGCCGAGATTGCGCCATTGCACTCCAGCCTGGGCAACAAGAGAGAAACTCCATCTCAAAATAAATAAATAAATAAATAAATAAATAAAATTAATAAATAAAAAAAATTAGGACTGTTCATAACTATAGTGGGCCCTTGAACAACAAACAACGTGTTTAAACTGCATAGGTCCACTCATAAGCAGATTTTTTTTTTTTTAATGAAAGTTCAATTGAGTGTGCCCGTCTCTCCTGCCACTCCTTCCACCTTCACCTCTTTTACCTCTGCCAACCTGAGACAGAAAGACCAACCTCTCTTCCTCACGCTACTCAACATGAAGATGATGAGGATGAAGTTAATATATTTCCCTTTATGATTTTTTAAATAACATGCTTTCTCTAGGTTACTTTATTGCAAGAATACAGTATACAAACTATGTTATTAACTGTTTCTGTTAGTGATAAGGTCAACAGTAGGCTATTTTAGTAGTTCAGTTTGAGGGGAGTCAAAAGTTCTCTATGGATTTTTGAGTGTGTTGGGGTCAGTATCCCAATCCCTGTATTGTGTAAGGGTCAACTGTTACGTCGATAAATTTGAGAACTTAGGTATGGGTAAACCCTTAGAAAAATATGCATTTCTAAAACTGACTTAAGAAGAAATAGAATACATGGTTAGTTCCATAACTATGAAATAAGTTAATAGTGAAAATATCTTTTTATAAAGAAAACTTCAGGCCCATAGAACTTTATAGCAAATTCTGCCAGTATTTAAGGAACAAATTAATAATAACCAATTTATGCAAATTCTTCTAGAATATAGGAAACGAGGGAACACTTCCAAACCTTTTTGTGAGGCTAGCATAACTACAGTTCTAAAACCTATAGTAGTCTGTAATTTCTCTCTCTCCCTTCTAAATTGGTATAAGAATCTTAAATGTCAGCAAGTTAAATTCAGCAATATAGAAAAAATATAATGCGACCAGTTGGATTTATCCCAGGAGTTTAAGCCTGGCTTCATTTAAGGGATGGGAAATCAATATAATATGCAACATTAACAGATTAAAGAATAAAACCTGTATGATTCTCCCAATAAATGCAGAAAAGGCCTTAAGCATTCATTCATGGTTTTAGAAAAGCTTTTAATAAAATGGGAACAGAAGATAGTGTTCTTTTTGTTTTGTTTTGTTTTTTGTGTTTTCTTTTAGACGGAGCCTTGCTCTGTTGCCCAGGCTGGAGTGCAGTGGCATGATTTTGGCTCACTGCAACCTCTGCCTCCCGGCTTCAGGCGATCTTTAACTTGATAAAATGCATTTACTAAAACAAATGTATTTTATAGTGAAGAATTGGAAACATTCTCTTTATGATTAGGAGCAAGCCTGTTGTCTTTCATTACTTTTCATTACTTTTTTTTTTTTTTTGGCTTTTCTTTGTTTACTTTGTTTACTTCTTTGTTTACTTTTACTTCTGTTTAACATTTTACTGAGTTACTAGCCACTGCCTAAGTCAAAAAGGTGGGGATTGGAAAAGAAGAAACTAAATAGTCATTATTAATGGATAATATGATAATCTACATAGAAAGCCAAAGAATGTTTACAAGCTATCAGGATTCATGAGAGTTTGATGGGTTTGCTGGATTTAAAATCAGTATACGAAAATCAGCTGTTTCTGTATACCCATCATGTTTTAAAATGTCATTTAAAAAAAGCATTATATAGTAGCATCAAAAATATAAAACAACGGACAAACATAAGACATACAACACATTCATAGAGAAAATTATAAAACTATTGAAAGTTTAGTTAAATTCAACATCAGTACAAAAATACTGGCAGATTTTCGTTTTGTTGTATTTTTTCCTGAAATTCATGTGGAAGAACAAAAGTCTATAAATAGGGAAGGCAATCCTAAAACACAAAGTTTTATTTAACTACTTTGGGTCTTGAGTTTTCTTATCTGTAAAAGAAATAATAATAGCACTTACCTTGTTGGGTTGCTATTGAAATTAAATATATAATGTAAAATATAACAGTGCTGCATAAGTGTTTCCTATTATTTTTATAACTTAAAAGATTTGTACTGAGGACATATATAGAATGCATCTGAATCAGTAAGAAAAAATAATAGAAAAATGGGCAAAGAAACTTAAATAGACACATTAAAAAAGAAAAATCTCCAGTGGTCAATAAACATATGAAAAGATGCACAAACTGATTAGAAATCAAGGAAATGCAAATTAAAGTCAAATTGATATACCTTTTCACCCCTGCCAGGTTGTAAAGTTTTAAGTCTGTCAATAACGTGCTGGAGAGAATGTGGAACAGTAGGAACAAAAGTATTGCTGTTGGGAATATAAATTAGTATAACTATTTTGGAAGATAGTTTGGCATTATCTAGTAAAGTTGAAAATGTGCATAGTCAGTGATCCACAAGTTTCATTCTGGGCATATAGCGAAGAACCAGGAGATACATACAAGAGTGCTCATAGCAGCCCTGCTTGTAATGGAAAAAAGCAGGAACCAATCTGAATATTTGTATAAATGTTGGTATATGCACATATAGGAGAGGAAAAACACTTTTCCTTCTACCGTTCTGAATTCTCATTTGGGCCTCTATAACAAAAGATAGATAAACAAGAGAAAAACAAACAAGTTTATTAACATGTATCAAGCATGCAACCAATAGGAGTACCAGAGATGAGTAACTCAAAAGTTTGGTTAGAACTTGAGTGTATATAGTATCTTGGCAAAGAAACAAATTTTTAAAGAAGCGATCAGACAAAAGAAAAGGAGTCTCTAGGGGCAGCAAACTGTGGGAAACTAATGGTAGATGAAGACTAGTTGGTAAAGTTTGTTATGCAGATTCCTCTGGCTAAGTGTCTAAAGTTGTCTCCTTTGATTAACTTTCGTCCTTCCTCGTAAAGAGAAGAGGAGGGAGACCTTTGTGAATTTATTGTTTTTAGGCAAGTAGGAGTAGGGCAGATAGCTTTTCTTGTATCTGTTTTTTTCTAAATTTCCCTCAACTCAAAATAATTATTATGCCAGAGTGGCATACTTTGGTCTGCACATGCCAGAGCATAATATTCGCGGAGAAAAGTGAATGAAATACAGATGCTCAACAACTCTAAGAAATAGTGAGATGAAAATGTCACAGAAGAGTACATATAGTGTGATCCCATGTAGACATTCTGAAACATGTAAAACTAAACCTTAGGGAATCAAACATATGGTTAAGTTAAAGAAAAGCAAGAGATGATTTCAATTTAGGATTGTGATTTTTTTTTCTGGGAGACGAGAAGATCTGTATTTGGAGAGGGCCTCACCGAAGGACTTGAAAGATAATAATAATGTTCTTGTTCTTAAACCTGGATTGGTATTGATTATATTGTGTTTCTTTATACCTCATCTAAACAGTCTAAGATATTATTTTATCTACCTAGTTATTAGTAAAAGCACTGTAAGAACTTAAAAAAAAAAATGACCAGAGGAGTGAGAATAAAACCAAGATGATGTTTAGGGTACTGGTGATAGTCTTTTCTACATGAATACATCTGAAGTACACAGAGTACTGCAGACAGTCATAGTGGTTCACTGTGGCAGTGATTGTCAACTGAAACACTATGTTCTGCAAAGAAATAATCAGAATTTGGGGAAGTTTGTGGGGTGGCAAATATAATTTTTTAAAACCTCAGAGATTATTTGGTTATCCCTCTTCTCACTTCTTTCCCACTGTCTGGGGAATCACTTGCATAAAGTCACCATAGCCAAAGAAGGAGAAGGTTGCAAAAGAGAATTGATTTTAAACGTGTTATAGAATGGTCAAGGAGAAGAAGAGGTCATGAGGAATATGATCTAAGAAAGTGATCAGTAAATTTAGTGAAATTAAGCTTGGAGAGAGTAATTTCCATTTGGTGGAGGCAGCAAGTATAATTTGAGGTAAAAGAACATGGTCATTCTAGAGTTGGGGGAAAAGAAAAAAAAAAGGGAGAAGGTTAGTGGAGGAGGAGGAGGTAGAGAGGGGCTGCCTAAAAGGATATTTAATAGATGGAGGAAGGTCCCAGAAGAATCAGGAGGGGTTGGGGTCAGTAGTTATGGGAACATTTTTAGGGTAGAGTTGTTTTATGTTTAGTAGCATGAAGGGGAGAGATTGTGACTAAAAGTGAGTGAGTGGAGGAGGTTGGGGGCCTATTTAGGTAAATATGTGATCAGTATTTAATGAGATTAAATCATTGTGGATTTTGAAATATTAGGGCATGTTTGAAGAAAGCATGCATTTATTGGGAACTCAATTGTTTTGTTACTATTCTCAAGCATTACTCAGCAACTTGGTGGCAGATAGAGTGAATGGTAGTGTTAAATTGGCATTGGGGATGGAGCTGACTGGTATAACAAGAAGTGTAAGGATTTCTCAGGAGCACATCATTAAAGTAATGACTGTGTGATTCAGGCCATTTAGAAAGTTAAGTATTACCAGATGGGAGATAATTTAGTTGGAGAATAGAAAAGAATTAAGGAATTAGAATACACATTAAAGGCAAGGATCAGGTGTGAATGTGGGAGGAGGAAGGTGTGACTTTTGTGGTCAGAATGAAAGAGGATTGAATCTAAAAGCTTAGATGTAGAACACTTTGAGTATACCAGATAATCAGTGGGCCCCATGTGATTTTAAAGGCAATACGGTTTTGAGATGAGAGGTAGAAGATGACATAGTTGCATCAAATCAGAAACAGTATCCTGGAAGTATACCGTTATGTTGGATTAAACAATGTATTTGTAAATTTCTAGACTTGAAGCCAGGAAAACCTTCAGTTTGTGAAAGGCAGGAGATTTAATTGGTAATGAGAGAGGAGATGGTTTCAACATGGTGTTGTACAGGGACTGGGATTTTTCTGGGCACATACTGCTGCTTGGATCATATTTAGATGTAGTAGAAGAGTTTTGATAAGCTATGTTTTTGATGAAAGGGTGGGTTAAGTTAGTTGAGATGTGTAGTTTAATAGATTTAAAGTGCAGGATGAATATGTGTTAACTGTCTTGGGAATTTATAAATACAGTATTTTGTTTAGCATATTAATTAGACTACATAGGCTGGGCATGGTGGCTCATACCTGTAATCCCAGCACTTTGGGAAGCTGAGGCAGGTGGATCACCTGAGGTCAGGAGGTCAAGACCAGCCTGGTCAACATGGCAAAACCCCGTCTCTACTAAAAATACAAAAATTAGGTGGACATGGTAATGGGTGCCTGTAGTCCCATCTACTTGGGAGGCTAAGGCAGGAGAATCGCTTGAACCCTAGTGGCGAAGGTTGCAGTGAGCCGAGATCTCACCATTGCATTCCAGCCTGGGTGACAGAGTAAGACCCTGTCTCAAAATAATAATAATTAGACTATATAATTTTCTTGAAATTGTGGTTTAGTAGTCATCAAGGGCCAGGAAAGATTTCATACACGAGTTATACACAGAAAGTGACTTACTATGACATTAATTATTTAACTTAACGTCTTCCTATTGTTAGTCCTATCATTACACTGTAGACTTGAAAACTATTTCTGTTATTTTGAGAGAAGTAAGAGCTGAAGTTTTCTGTGAAGGAGTGTACTGAAAAAAACTTTAAAAACTTGGAACTCTCAACTGCCAGGAATTTTAAGAGCAGCTATCACAGAATGCCAACTTGGAAGAGCTAACATTTGTTAACCCCAGAAAGCTGTTGTGAACTCCATTGCCAGTCAAGTGGCTTTTAAACCCAAGGTTTACTGGAGCTGAGTCTTATAAGACTGAGAAGCTGAAGTAAATAAAATTGAGATAGGAGTCAGTAAGGAACAAGCAGTTAGTATTGCCTAGGTAGGTAAGGGAGTAGATACAAGTGATGAGGAAAGAAAAGCAATAGGAGCTGGGAATCAGAGGAGAAAAAACTCTGCAGTATTGTTTTCTACACAAGCATAGTAGAAGAGCACCATAGTACTGCGAACCGCAAATATCTGAGACAGGTCTCAGTTAATTTACAAAGTTTATTTTGCCAAGGTTGAGAACATGCACCCATGACACAGCCTCAGGAGGTCCTGATGACATGTGCCCAGGGTGTTCAGAGCAGTTTGGTTTTATACATTTTAGGGATACATGAGACGTCAGTCAGCATATGTAAAATGAACATTGGTTCGGTCCAGCTGGAAGCAAAGGTGAGGCAACCTGAAGCAGGGAGGAGACTTCCAGGTCATAAGTAGATAAGAGACCAATGGTTGCATTCTTTTGAGTTTCTGATTAGCCTCTCCAAAAGAGGCAAGCAGATACGCGTTTATCTCAGCAGAGGGGTGACTTTGAATAGAATGGAAGGCAGATTTGCCCTAAGCAATTCCCAGCTTGACTTTTCCCTTTAGTGATTTGGGGTCTCCAAGATTTATTTTCCTTTCATATTTCCTCCCTTTTTAAAAATCTTTTGGAGAAAGCATATTTAGAAGAAAATGAGTCTCTGGTCTCAAGTTTCGTCTGATCTCTCATGGCTAGGATGGTTTATTCCTTGACGGATAGGTCCTGAGTTATTAGGAAAGCTCAATTTTAGCTGGTTGTGAAGTCTCATGTCTTGTGAAGAGAAAACGGGGAGGAAGGGAGAAAAACAACAAAAAACAAAAAACAAATCCTGGAAAATTTATATAGGCCACATTACCTGAAGTCCATATGTCAGTAGGCAGGTATTAAAGTGGCTTATGTATGTAACTAAGTTGCTGTTCTTTTCTTCTGAAGTTTAAGTGTCTAGCTTCAGTTCTTAGGGCATTAAGAAAGCACAGCTTAGTTTTCAGTGACTCCAAATTAGGAAAAATGGGGGAAAAAAGAAGGGAAATAAATTGAAAACATTATTTTGAAGACTTGTAGCCAAGAAAAGTTTGAATTCTGTCTAAACTATAGAAAATAATAAAAATTGAAAAATATTAGGCAGGACTAGAATCTAACAATAGGTATACTATAGTTTTTGAAACATAATTTCTCTGTCTCCAGTTTCTCATTTTCACTAAAGACAAATTATGGTAGGACTGATTTGCTTTCTTCTAATTGGCCAGATTGTTTGTATATAGTGCAGCAAGAATAATTATTTTGTTACATAGGCTTTTTTTTTTTTTCGTGACATAGTCTTGCTCTGTCACCCAGGCTGGAGTGCGGTGGCGGGATCTCGGGGGTGATCTGCCTGCCCTGGCCTCCCAAAGTGCTGGGATTACAGGCATGAGCCACTGCGCCCTGCCTACATAGGCTTTTAAATTGGCTTTGATAGAACTTTGTTCCATAGAAATAATCTCAGGTAAGACTTTTTTAAAGCCAAGCCCAGCCATGGATTTGTACCATCAAATACCTGTGAATTGGGTGAATTCCTCTCCTCTTGATTCCAAGATAAACTTGGGGCTCCTGGGCCTGTCAGAAAGTGACATTCTTTACTTAACAACAGGTCAGAAACCCTGTACAGGGACTGTGTAGATAAGGTGTGAAGCCAGTTTTCCCAAGGGGCTTTCATTGGCTCTGTAAGTCAAGTTTGATTCCTTAAAGGAAAGCACACCATTCCAGTCAAAGCCTTGGTAAAATAACTAGTTTCTCCAATTGTGTCCTGTTACAAATGAAAACAGATTCTTATTGCACTTACGCAAATAACTGTATTGCCATAAGTTAAGAATACTCACAAATAGTTTCCAAATTCTAGAGAAATCAGGTAGAGAGAAACAAATATGCTCCAAATTTTGTTCATAGGAGTCTACTGAATTGTTAGAAGCTGTCAATAGTGCAAAAGAAAAGTTTCTTTGAAAAAAACAAAACAAAGGATCAGCAACATTTTAAGCAAAAAGTCAAAAAGATAACTTCAGTCTTCTGTTAATTCAGTCCATGCAGTTAATTCCTGTTCTGTTTGATATTCATGGATGTTCCAGCTCTCTGTGAGTCCTGAAAGTTTTTCTTCTATTTTGATGTCACAATCTCCAATCAGAAACATTCATTCAAGAGCACCTGTTAGAGTTTTATAGCTGATTATAAAACCACCTTCTAAAGAGGACCAAAAGAAGGTAACAATTGTCCATGGATGACAAAAGTTTTAGGGTAGCCATAGTCAAAGACATAGTTGACAAGGGAATTTATTATCTCTGTGGCACACAATAATTATAATTATTATTGATAATGTACATTAAGTCATATCAGAATTATAGGAGTTTCTCATAATTTTAGGACACATACTAATAACATTAAGTCATATCAGAATTATAGGAGTTTCTCATAATTTTAGGACACATACTAATAACATCTCTACAAATACAGACCAAGAAAACCAAACACCATTTCTTATATGACAATGTTTCCTGTGTAATTTTTTTTACTAAATAAGCCAAATTATGTCATTTTTTGAACTTTATAGGGAACCTAATGTCTTAAAGAATTAATTAGGTCAAAAAAAAGACATAATTTATCATTTGATTTTGGAAAGTTTGTCAAATATCAAAGGTTTAAAAAACTTCATACTACAGGTCATTGTAAAATAAGTCATTCATTTCACCAAAGTGATAACTCAGAAAAAGGTGAAAACCTTCATTCTTTGAGAGAGGAGACTTAATTCTCCAAACGATAAGGCCTAATAAAAACAGCATGAAACCAATTCAATTTATTTTTAAAAGTTTATAAACAGTCTCCAAAATTTTAATCTTGACCATAAGATATAACTTCCTTAAGCCTTTCACAGCATTTATAACCTTTATTAAGGAGTCAGTTAATGCTTCAACAAAACCTTGTTAATCTGACACAGGGGCCCATATGTTGGTTTTGCATTAGTGTGCCTTTGATATGAATGATTAATTTATAGAGAAGCTGAACTTATTTTCTCTCTCAAAATTGGGCCTTCCAATTTCACATGCCCGCCTCTTCTATGATAGTCCCTGGGCCTTGAGGAGTTGAATACCTTTAATTTCTGGCCTTGTGTTTTAGAAACGCAGTTTATTTTGATTGGCATTTTCTACGGAGCCTGAAGATGAGGCTTTAATTGCTGTCAGTGTTTATGATTTAGTAGGACTTGGTGTCCTTTTTAGACCCAGAAGTCAAAGCCATGTAACTCAATGGCACAGGTACTTTGAACATATAGAAAGATACATGAATGTTAATAACCTTAATTAAAAATTTTTTTTTTTAATTTCAGCTTTTTTCCCCAAGCAAACCAAACTGAATCATAATAGCATAGAATTGTTTCAATAAACCATAAAATATGTTAGACCAGTTACTAAAAGGCAACAGAAAAGACCTGCACTGCCAGAATATTATGTTGGAAGAAAACATTTCCTTTGGATATTCATGAAAACATTGTTAGCATCAGGCCATAACAAACAGAACTTGAGGAAAAAAACTTAATATGAGCTGAAAATGAGTTGAAAGAGAGTGTTACAATTTCACACCCTTTAAAAGGAGAGAGAAAACTAAAAACAGTGAGATGCAATAAAAGTTGAAGTTTGGGTTAGAAAAAAATTAAAATCTCTTATAATTTATTAAACGTGAATCAATAACTTAAGAAAATGTCATTGTTTTAACCAGTGATTTAGTGTGTGTGTATATATATATAGACATAATTTTTTTTACATCAAGTCCAATCATCTCTAGAAAGACCATTTTAATTTCCCTTTAATTATATAAAAGTTTCTTTGTTCTTTTTTTTTTTAAATAAATCCTCTTATTGTGTCTTAGACCATTCATGACATGCTTGGACTCTGTGGTTTGTCCTGACCATCCTCTTTCTTAAGCAGTCATTTTATTGTAGGACTAAATTTACCATATAAGAGTCTTTCTCATTATTTCTTTTTAAGCTTTCTTACCAAAACAACCCTCTTTATTTTTACAACTTTCTTTACATGTCTCTTACTTCCTGGTTCCTTTTACCTTCTTTTATACATGACCTAAATAAGCATTGAATTAGACAAAAATTGTTCACCTTTTTAAAAAGGACACACTTTTTAAAAAAAAAAATATTTTTCTACAATATATTTTATTGAAATATTTATTATTTTAGTATAACTTTAGATTCTAAATTATGATGAGTTTGTCTACAATTATCCCATTGCATTTACCTAATTATTTTAATTGTTTACCTAGACTATTTATGAAAACTGTAATGGTCATCATTTAAAGTTACAGAACCACCATTGCAAAATCATAACTGAGACAGTGAAAAAGATCTGACCTAACTCACCCCATCTTGCTTCTAACCTCCAAGCTGTCCTCATTCATTCCTGGGCATAGGCTGAACTAACTTCGGGAGGAACTTGGTTTATAGTTTAGCTTTGAAACAAAGGCAATAACAGCCTTTTCCCAAAACAAACCTTACTGACTATGGTCTAGACTGCCTAAAGCCACAAGATTAGAAGTTATGATAATCTTACTAACTTCAAGATGTAGCTATTTTCATTAAACCAATATCAATGTCTTATTTATTAACAATTACGCAAGCAAAGATCATTCTGTTTGGGGCTGGATTTATGGTTTTTAATCCCTATGCCAAATTTTGACACCTTAATAGTATTTTGCAGGGATAAGTATGAAATTGCTTGATTAATAAATGCAAACAAAAATATATTTTGGCAATTCTTAAGATATTTCTAATATTATTTTGCCAGTAATTTTAAAGCTAGCTTATTTATTAAAGATTTTATTAAATTATGTAAACTTGAAAAAGCATTTGACGAGTCTTCTCTTTTTTCCTGATGAAGTATTTGATTCCAAGCACTTTTATTTTCTTAAGCCAATTAGTTAGAGCTCTTTTATATATTTTCAGTAGTGAAACATTGTGTACACAACACATAAATACATAGACATATTAGGCATGCTGATAGAAGTACATATTATAGATTCATAAAAATTTTATTTTCCTACCATAGACTTCAAATTCTTAATAACCTTTTTCACTACCCTAGGCAGTTGTCAGCTAAATAGCCTTTAATTTGCATGTTAAAGGAAACAACTCAGGTGAAAATCAGATAGCCAAATTTACACCATAAAGTATGGAAAGAAAACGTCTAGTGTGCTAAGAGGGAAATTAAAGTGGATTTAATTGCCAATTAAACATAAAGCTATGGAAATTATAAAGGCATTTTAAATACACACACACACACACACACACACACACACCCCCTATAGCTTTTACTTTGGAACTTTAGCCATGAGATAAATACAAATTCACTGGCTTGCAAAAAAAAAACACAAAAAACCTGTTAGATCCAAACAGTGGTTTTTATCTTAGTAGAAAAATAACAGCAGATTCAAAGCAGCCAGAAATGAAAGACACAGAAAGAGAACGTAGCAACTCTGTAGTTTGTAGGTCGACCTTAGGGTTCTTTTTCTTTAATGTAAATGTGCACAAAGACCATGTTACTTCCGTTTTACATAAACTCTGGCAAGTAGTGGTGCCATAAAACCTACGGAGTGCTTGAAAGGGGATCATTCTCCTCATTCTTAGAACGTTTCCCACTTTTTCTTAAAAGGAGGAACTGAGCTGTGGCCTAGGGTTTTTATGTGTGGATGGATGTGTGCTGCTTGTGGGCAGGACTCCACAGTGTGTCACCACTGAGTTGTTTCTGCCCTCTTACATGTCTTGGTTTCTCTCTCCAGAGGTCCATGACCTCTGAGAGGGCTCAAAACATGGGATGATCAGGACTTATGTGTGTTTCCTGGACAAGCCTTTTTAAAAATTAATTTTTGTTGGGGATTTTCTTGTAAGGCCACTGCACGTCGAGGGAGGTTAACCCCCTGTACACTCCCATTAGGCCCCCGGTCACCCAGGGGCACCTTTTGGCTGGGGGGAGCAAAACACCCTTTCTCTTTGGAGCTGAGAAAACTCAATCTGTCATTTACCTGCAAAAACAACAGTTCAGTTCCTCACACAAATGTGCGCAGAAAAGCCAAACAGAGATTAATTTTGGTAGAAAAGGCGATAGAGAAGACCCTTTAGAATGCATCTCTGAAGTAGAATCAGGATCCTTAACAACTTCGTAGGAGAAAAAACAGCCAAGACCACTTCCTGTAAACTGTGCTCAGCCACCCCTAACTTGTAGCTCTCATTCACCATTACACACACCAAGGTCAAATCCTCTCGTGGTACAAGATAATCTCTGGTACCCCCAAGCCAAACAAGTCAGGTCATGGAATAATATGGAAACAGAGGTTTAGACTTAAGAAGACTCTGCCCATGACTCTTGAAACTCCACAAGGAAAACAGAACACTCTAAAAGGGGTGAGTGGTGTCTTTGTTCTGAATTCTTTTAATGGGTTCAAGTCATTAGAAACCTTCTCTAGATTTTTTGGTACTACAGATGGCAAAGGGGGAAGGAGGTATAGGGTGGAAGAAAAGTAAATGAAAGAACATTTGTTTTTTTAAGACAGTAAGCAAACACAGAAACCAAGCGCATGGATTTTTGTTTTTGTTTTTTTTTCTTTCCTCTTTTGCAGCTGCGAGGAATTTTAGCCAAATTAGAGAGGTTTTGTTACCCATAATTTGGAATTCTCAGATTTGACCAAGTCAAGTAGAGTTTGTCAAATCTGATGGGAGAAAGACCAGAACAAACAAACAACAAAAAACCCAACAATATGATCACTGACTGTGCTAATGGTAAGGAGAAATTAAGACCAGCTAGTTGTTAAACTTTAGCCAAGACAAAACCCCAATTCAGCTACTTACCCAGGGATAGGTCTCAGGCTGAAGACTGCTCTCTACATCCTAGAAGCAGGAAAAAAGTCAAACTCATCTTCCCTGCTAGGAGTGAGCTCAAACTCTGTAAAGGAGTTACCTTCTGTCCATCGCTATGTAAGCAGGAAATCTTGCTTTCCTTGTTGGAAGCAAGTGAAACTCCAAAAAAAGGGAGTTGTATTGCAAAATAAACTTTAGGTCTCCACCAAATTTTGGGAGATCAGGTGTTATCTGGAGGGGATACTCACAGACATCAGCAAATAGTACTATCGGTTTGAGCCATAAAGTTAGCTCATGCTGGTGTCAAGCTCCGATAGGATATTTGTCAAAGGTCAGGGTCACCTCCACTCAGAATCCCTTCATGGTCACCAAAATGTGAACCCCACATATCTGAGACAGGTCTCAGTTAATTTAGAAAGTTTATTTTGCCAAGGTTGAGTACACGGGACCATGACACAGCTGCAGGAGGTCCTGAGACATGTGCCCAAAGTGGTCAGAGAACAGTTTGGTTTTATACATTTTAGGGAGACACGAAACATCAGTCAACATATGTAAGATGAACATTGGGTTCTGTCCGGAACTGGAAACAAAGGCAGGACAACTTGAAGCAGGGAGGGGGCTTCCAGGTCATAGGTAGATAAGAGGCAAATGATTGCATTCTTTTGAATTTCTTACTAGCTTCTCTAAAGGAGGCAGTAAGATATACATTTATCCCAGTGAGCCAGAGGGGTGACTTTGAATAGAATGGGAGGCAGGTTTGCCCTAAGCAGTTCCCAGCTTCACTTTTCCCTTTAGCTTAGTGATTTGGGGCCCCCAAGATTTATTTTCCTTTTACAGTACAAAGCCATCTTACCCAAGAACTTTCAGAATACATAATGGTAAAATGAGAGGAAAGAGGTATAAGTACACTAACCCTAAAAGAGGATCACTGTTTCCACATGTGTAGAAGATGTTTTTCCAGAGTTTTAATGTAAGTTTGTAATAAATGATTATATCTATTATATAAAGATACTTACATACTCAGAATCCTTGTTAGTTCCCTTTTAAATGCATTTTTAAAAAGCTTTATATCAGTGATTCGTCTGCATACACTTAAATTGGAACACTTCAGCTATGACCTTGGTAAAAAGATCAGAGGTTGTCCTTGTTTCTAACTTAAGTTTAATTCGTTCATCTCTGATTTTTCACTCTTGTTAATGACATGTCCAACTTTCTAAACTGATTCTTCCAAAAGGACAATTTTATGAATCTTTAGAACCTGAATGAAATGAGTGTTAGCTCATAAGTATTTTCTTTGCTGCTGCTTGTCCCCATTTCTGCCTTCCCTACTCCAGGCAAAAATATTAGTTTAATATTTCCTATTCCACTTCTTAATCTTTTTGAAAAAATAATACTTTGCATGGAGAAAAAAGTGAAATAGCATGAAAGGGTAAAAAATAGTGTGAAAGGGTAGAAAATCATTTGGAACAGTCAAAAAAATATGGGTATACAGTAAAAAGTAAGTTTTCCTCCTTCTTTTGGCCCCCACACACTCCCCATCCAACTCATTTTCCCTCCACAGAAACAACAACCACTTGGAGAGACCTACTTTAAAAAAAAAAAAAACAAGCAAACCATGGTGATCAGAAAATATAACTTTCATTAAGCTGTAAACAAGAAAGTATGCATAAACATAAGCCATTTTTACAGTAGTCCAATCATAATTTTGTTTTTCTGCTTATCTAGTGGCTCACTTAAAAGTGTCAAAACTAGGCAATTGTATAACTTCTTCCTGGGACACAGTTTGTTTGGTGGCAGTTTTGGTGTGTTTTTTGGTGTGTTCCATTTATTTGCCAGCCATGTTCTGCTCTCCCAAATGAAGAGTATTAGTGTTTCAGCAAAATATGGGATTCGAAATTAGACAAATCAGTATTTGAGCTCTGTTAATGTCACTTCCTAGCTGTATAATCCTGACATTTCTTTTAATTTCTCTGACCTGTAAATTCCTCATCTAAATAATAAGGATAATAATAGTTACTTCTCAGGTTAATTTTAAGGGTTGATTATAAATTACCTAGCACAGTGCTAGATATGGTAGGTGCTCAATAAAACCATTAGTTCCTTTTCCCTTTTCTTTTAATGATATATTGTGAATACAATCTGAAGAGATTGTTAAAGTGGGACTGCTGTTGCAGGAAAGAGATCTTAGGTAAACTTGAAAAGATAAAATTTTCTGTCTCTATGTAAACTAAACATTATTCATTTGTCATTTTTTATTTAGGAAGTTCCAGATAGAAATAAAGGCTATTCTTTAAATCAAGAGGCAATTTTAAAAGCTTTATTTAGGCATAGAGTAAAATTTTCAGGGCAACTAGCTAATAGGGAATAAAACAGGGTTTCTCATATCAGGCATTGTTGACATTTTGGGCCAATAATTATTTGGGATGGGGAAAGGGAGGCTGTCCTGTGCCTTGTAGAATGTTCAGTGGCATCTCTACCTCTACTGACTAGATGCTGGTATCACCCTACCCCCAAGTGTGACAACCAGAAGTATTTCCAGACTTTGCCAAATGTCCCCTGGGAAAACCACTGTCTTCGAGCGTTGCTTAAAAAGAACACATGTGGGAGGGTTTCACATTTACTGTAGCATAATGAAAATGAAGAGTAAATGTTATTCAGATGCTAAAATAGGATACCTTTTTTAA
Source organism: Homo sapiens (assembly GCF_000001405.40). NCBI lineage: Eukaryota > Metazoa > Chordata > Mammalia > Primates > Hominidae > Homo > Homo sapiens. Next base: position 87,794,386 of record NC_000010.11, on the reverse strand, counting down.
CTGACATGTAAACGACTTATGGCAGTAAAAGAGAAGGTATTTACAAGTGACAAAGGGATCTACAAAAGATTATCTATTGATTCAGTGACTTTACAGGGGCAAGATAAACAGGAGATGTATCCTGTTTGATTATGTGATGTGGTTCATAGCACTTTTTAAAAATTCTTATGAGACAAGATTTGTCTCTTGTCCAGGCTGGAATGCAGTGGCATGATTATGGCTCACTGCAGTCTTGATCTCCAAGGCTCAAGTAATCCTCCTCCCTCAGCCTCCAGAGTATCTAGGACTACAGGCGTGTACTACCACATACAGCTAAGTTTTGATTTTTTGTAGAGATGGCGTCTGTGTTGCCCAGGCTGGTCTCGAACTCCTGGGTTCAAGCAATCCTCCCAACTCAGCCTTCCAAAGTGCTGGGAGCCCCCATTCCTGGCCCCCATAGTACTTTTTTTTTTTAAAGCTATTAAACACATTTATCCTAACCTCCTAGCTATTCTATAACTAAAATGCTGTGTGATGTGAATTTCCTTTTAGAGCAGTCATAACCCTGGATAGACAGCAAGATTCTATATAATCAAAAGCATTTTAGGAAAATGTAATAACCAAAACTTAGGTAAACATGATTTACCAGAGTCCCTTCATTTCTAAAATGTTCACTTAATTGAAATTTGAATTTGTTATGTATAGATTTTTAAAGACTCTTTCATGGTTATAAACTCCAGTCTTAAAATTGAAGAAATCAGGGCAAATATGTGTGGTAGTCAAGTATGGACTCTAGTGTTGGACTCCTTGAATTCATATCTTGTTTCTTCTCTTGGCTAACTTTTAACCAAAGGCAAATTACTTAATCATGCTAAACTTCAGTTTCTTTTTCTGTGATTGGGAAAATATTATGACTATCTCATAGTATTGGCTCTTAGGATTCAATAAGTTAATCCTTTTACTGTATTTTGGCATAATATTTGGCACACTCAGTAAATGTTTTTCATTATCTTTATTTTAATTGAAAGCTTTGTTGTATTGCTAGAACTCATAGGTTTAATGCTGGTTGTTAGAGTTATTTTTATTATAACTCTGGTTGCCTAGTCCCAAGAATTGTCTTCTACCTAAAAGGGACAGCATAACAGAGCAATTTAAAATGGGATATGTGTGGCCATCTATTGTAGATACCTGGATTAATTTGAAGGAAGTTGGACATCTGTTTCAGATACTCAGTTTAAAGAAACTTCACTTATACATTTCTTGCCCTCCTTAACTCCTCTGTCTTTCCTCTTGAGATTTCACCTTTGCCAGTCATGATAGTCCTGTTAGGAATGAGAAACTAAGCTGTATCCTAGAGTCTCATTGAAACAATGGGAGCCCCTCTTGGAAGTGTAAGATCTCTTCAGTCACATACCCTATTTTCTCATTTCCTGAAAGGTGGTTAAATTTCCCTGATTTCAGTGGATTAGAGCCTCAAATCGTTACCTGAGGGCTCACAATGGAGAAGGCTAAGATCAAGGGGCCTAGAATATCCTTGGAAATTTCTTGTATATCTATCTGTTCATTGCTCTTTAGACTTCACATATATCTATTTCGAAGTGCCAGTATCTAAATATCAAATCAAAGCAGGTTGTTTGTTCTTTTCATTCTAGGCAGAAAAACTAATGAAGCAAATTGGAGTGAAAAATGTGAAGCTCTCAGAATATGAAATGAGTATTGCTGCTCATCTTGTAGACCCTCTTAATATGCATGTATGTATCTTTAATCTTATTTAAGATTTTTTTAGAGGTGGGGGTGGGTTCTAGCATTTTGTGTCAGGGGTCTTAAAGATCACGGCCGGGTTCTTTGATTCTCTAGGCTGAATCATAAGACTCGGCATATAGTTGTATTCCTGTATATGATTTATTACACTGAAAAGATACAAAGCAAAATCAGCAAAGGGAAGGGGGCATGGGATGAAGTCTGAAGGAAGCCAGGCGCAAGATTCCAAGTGGAGTCACACAGTGCTTAATTAGTGCATCAAGTTGTGACAACACATGTGCAGTGTTGTCACCAGGAAAGCTCACGGGAGACTCAGTCCCCAACATATTTATTGGGGGCTGGTTATATAGCTTTCCTCTTCCCTTAAATGTACCAAAATTCTAGACTCCCAGAAGGAAAATGGATGTTTCACCATAAACCATATTGTTTGCACAAACAGTTTAGGCACAGTGAGCTGTTCTTGTCAAGAAATTGTGGCACTCTTCTGAAATCTAAGTTCCCACATGCCAGCCAAGGGCCAATCTTGCAAATATGCCTTTCTAAGGACAACAGTCTCAGGCCTACTTTGTTAACTCTTTTCTGTACGCATTTGTTTAGTAAAACTTTTATGTATTTGCCTTTGTGGTGTATAAAGCGTACTGCTTTAAGTCATGTGGATTTTTGTTTTATAGAGTTTAAACCTAAATTTTCATAATATGGTATGATAACACAGGATACTAAATCCCAGGTTTTCCATTAATGGCCTTGGCAAATGATTTCCTCTTTGAGTCTCAGTTCCCTCATGTATAATCTAGAGATAATAATACCTACTTTACCTACTTCATAAGGATTATTTTGAGGATGAGATTGATGTAATGTATAAGATCCTATATCAATATTTTGTAACAATAAGTATACATTTATAAATTCTATAAATAGAAAATATTTGCCTAATACATTAATGTTATATTGCTATAAATAAGTAGAATGAAGTAGTCCCATCTCCATATCTAGAAAATAAAAGTCTGCAATGTCTTAATATCTGTGTATACAGAGACATACACACACCCTAGAATTAAGCCTGCATTTGAATTTGGTTTATAGATTTACAATGGTACCTTCTTGGAACCCTGCCTATATTAATTTCTGAATAAATCTGTACTAACAGACTTAGTTTTTTGTTGCTGTTACAGTGAAAGTTATTTTTTTTTTCAGATCTGGCTGCTGGTTTGCACCTTCCCTTTTTATCATTTTTTTTTACATTTTGAAGGAAATGAATCTATTGTAAAGTATTGCTTCTGATTGGCCCCAACTCCAGCTCCTTTCAGGACAAGTGCCAGTCCTTTCAGGACAAGTTGAATCAGGTTTTTCTTGTCTATTTTGAAAATACGTATGCCCTGTTTTTATTTATAAAGATACTTCCTTAAGTTTTAACATAGTTGTAATTTTTTTTTTTTTTTTTTGAGACAGAGTCTCACTCTGTCACCTAGGATGGAGTGCAGTGGCATGATCTTGGCTCACTGTAACCTCCGCCTCCCAGGTTCTGGCAATTCTCCTGCCTCAGCCTCCCAAGTAGCTGGGACTACAGGCACACACCACTACACCTGGTTAATTTTTTTTTTTTTTTTTTTTTTTTTGTAATTTTAGTAGAGACGGGGTTTCAACCATGTTGGCCAGGCTGGTCCCGAACTCCTGACCTCAAGTGATCCGCTCACCTTGGCCTCCCAAAGTGCTGGATTACAGGCGTGAGCGACCACGCCTGGTCCATAGGTTTACTTTTGATGGATAAAATTCAGAAGCTATGTTTTGTAAGACCTTATTTCTAAAATTAATTTCTGTGATGCTTGACAACATCCTGTATAAAATAGGTACATTCCTGATGAGCTCTTTCCCATCAGCCAGTGCTAAATTATGTCTCAGCTGGTTCTCAGTATTCTTGCAGCAGAGTATTTTCTCCTTACAAGTGGAATGAATTTAGCTTATTAGACCCTTGCAGATTTTTGAGTACCTGACTTACAGATTTTTAATAGTAGATAGTTGACTATTAAATTCCTTTTTCCAGTTTCATAGCAGTTTATTTCATTACTGCTTGGAAAAGTCTTTACTTATGTTAATATATGATTTTAACTTATTTATGTATAATCATCAGATTAACATTTGTAATTTTGGGAGCGTTCTTTTTACTTTAGTGAGTGTACATTTGTAGTAAAATTCATGTTGACCTTAACTTTTGCCAGGTTACTTGGAGTGATATAGCAGGTTTAGATGATGTCATTACGGATCTGAAAGACACAGTCATCTTACCTATCAAAAAGAAACATTTGTTTGAGAATTCCAGGCTTCTGCAGCCTCCAAAAGGTATGGTAAAGGTATATATTCGCCTAAAGCATTAAAATCCTAGAAAACATTGAAACTTTCTGCCATTGTAGAACTAGTTTTTGTGAAATCAGATTCTCAAGAGGATGCTGAGATCTATGTGAACAGTTTCTTAAAATAATTGCTCATTCTTCAGCTTCTGAAATTGAGATAAACTTTTTCCTGTATTTACATGTTAAAATACTTGTTAAAATAATCTCCTTCAATTTCTTTTCTCTTACTTCCAAGTAAATTAAAATTTGGAAAATCAAGATTAAAGAAAGATTCAAAGTCATAATACAAGTTTTTTGTTTTGTTTTGTTTTGTTTTCAAGCCAAGACATTTTTTTCTTGTTTCACAGCTCCAACGATCTTATTTTTAGAATGTAATGATTCTTTTTCAGGAAATATTTATCTGCAGATGAACTAGAAATTAAATATTTAACTTTGATGGAGATGTTTGCTTATTCAAAATCACTTTGAAAGTCTTGGAACTCAAGAATTGAATATGCTCATAACTGCATCATTAAGTGTAATTCTTGTTCATTCAAATCTTTCTTTTTTTTTCTTTTCTCTCTTTTCTTTTCTTTTTGAGATGGGGTCTCACTGTGTCACCCAAGTTGAAATGCAGTGGCATGATCTTGGCTCACTGCAACTTCCGCCTCCCAGGCTCAAGTGATCCTCCCACCTGAGCCTCCTGAGTAGCTGGGACCACAGGCATGTGCCACCACGCCTGGCTCTTTTTTTATATTTTTGGTAATGATGGTGTTTCACCATGTTGCTCAGGCTGGTCTTGAACTCCTGAGTTCAAGTTCTTCACCTGCGTTGGCCTCCTAGAGTGCTGGGATTACAGGCATGAGCCATTGTGCCCAGCTAGTGCACATATTTCTGTCATGCTTAAGGCTTGTTAAAGGTGATTCAGATGGAGTGTAAATAATTTACAGTGAGAGATATATGTGTGTGTTACTATGGCGTTCAGATCCAAATTTCACGAGATAGCTTATTTTCATCTAGCAGAAACTCTTATCTAATGCATTGCCAAAACTATATGGGTTTGATATGTTGTTAGTCAAGACTTAAATTATTAGTCACATTGATTTTTCAAAAAAGTGGATCTTTAAAAATATCAAAATAGCATTATGTATGTTTAAATTATAATGCTTATAATCTTTCTAAATTTGCAGCTATATCAATAAAGTGCATTAATTTACATATCAAAGGTAACTGAAGCCTGTACCTGTGCATTTTTATGAACTACATAATTTTTGTTTCTGGTAAGTGGAGGATGACAGTTAACAGCAAAAATGACATGTTCTTTTATTATTAAAACAACAAAGCTATTAGGTATTTCTTTTTGTTTTCTGAAATAACAACACTGCTTATAGTTTTTCCTAACAAAACACTCAGTTTATTGTGATTTCCCCCCTGCCGCAAAAAAAACTTTGAATGATTATTTGAGCCCAGATCAAAAATGTATGGCTATAGTTGGATTAGTTAAGTCTTTACTACCCTCTTCCAGGTTATTTGTAGTCTGAACAAAAAATGACTTTTCTGCATTTTTAGTTCTCAATTGGACAATGCTAGTGAATTTAGGAAAGTAAAATACCTTTTATATGCTGTTGGAGAAAGCTTCTTTTTTTATCAGTGTTATCTTAGACCAGGTAATTGGGTGATTTCTCCAGTTGGACTTGGTTTAAAGACCCATTTAGCAGAGTGGATACCAAATTATGCAGGGAATACTTCAAAAGTTATATGTAAATTTGCTTCTTATTTGAAAGCATTGTCCAATTTAAAAGTTACATGAATATTTTCTGATTATATAAAGTTTTGCTATTTGAACTTTTTCACCTTTATGTCTGGACAATTTTTAATCAAGAATAACAGTTTTGAAGATCATTAATTTACTTTTTGACCCTCAATATAAATTGGATATTGGTGTATAGAAGCAGAGTGTAAAATCAGATGCATCCTTGTTTGTTCCATTTTGGGACTGGAACTAGGTTACCTAGGTTAGAGTTATTGACAATTTTATGTTATCCTTAGACAGTTTATTGCTATCTGAGCTGAAAGTGATCACTGCTTCACACAGACTACAAAAAGATAATTGGAGAGTGACTGCAGTATCCATGCAGTGCATGAGGTCATATGTAACTATTGTGTATAGATACAAAGTTGAAGCTAATGCACACCATGATGCCGCTAATTGGTGACAGGGAAATGGGGGCACACATAAGATATTGACGGTTATATTTAAAAAGTGATTTTTTTCCCTCAAACGTCTAAAAATTTACAACAGTTAAAATTCCAACAAAATCCATCTGAATACCATATGGCTTCCTCTGTAAACTTTCTGAATTCTGTATTGTTATTTTGGTATATAAATTTTATTACATTTGTGAATGTTATACTTCATGTTTTGGTGCATTCTTTAAATTGTGAGTAACCTAAGGAAAAAAATAATTTTAAAAATAGATTTTCTGTTATAAAGACCCATATTCTTCTCAAGTACTTTATATTTAAGTAGATTTAATTTATATAGATGTGTATTTTTGCACCATTTGGACAAATTTTATGTTAAAGCCAATAAACAGTTGTCCAAAAAAGAAAAATAGTCACTAATAAGGTGGAATATTTGTCACAAATGAGGATTATCTCAAATTTAGATTTGTGTATCCCAATACTTTTTTTGTTCTTATCCTTTTTTTTGGAGACAGAGTCTTACTGTCACCAGGCTGGAGTGTGTAACCATAGCCCACTGCTGCAGCCTCCTGGGCTCAAATGATCCTCCTGCCTCTGGGTCCTGAGTAGCTGGAACTGCAAGGCATGTACCACCATGCCTGCCTAATGTTTTAATTTTTTGTAGAGACAGGGTCTCACTTTGTGGCCCAGGTTGGTCTTGAATTCCTGGGCTCGTTATCCTCCTGCCTCAGCATCCCAAAGTGTTGAGATTACAGGTGTGAACCACTGTGCCCATCCTCTTCCTAAATCTTTTATTTGCATATAGCACTTACTAAGTAAAGCCATTACCAAAAACATCCGTCTTAAAAAGGAGTTTAAATTTTTAAGCCTCTATAAAGCTTAAGATAATAAACACAGTTTTTATTTGTTGAAGTTGGTTATAAAAGTATCAGATTAAGCTCAAAGAACTAATTTAAAGGTTGCAAAGCTAATAATAAAAGCTAAATGCCTCACATTCATTGCAGTACTCATTTGTCACCCATCGTAATTATTATCACTGTGGAGACCATTTTAGGAAAGTATATAGAAAAGGTGCCACTCTAAATAACGTTATCTCTAGACTCACTGATAATTTGTCAGACAAGCCAATCTGAATTTTAGTGTAACTTTTTTTTTTTTTTGAGACGGAGTCTCGCCCTGTTGCCCACCCTGGAGTGCAATGGCGCAATCTCGGCTCACTGCAACCTCTGCCTCCCGGGTTTAAGAGATTCTTCTAACTCAGCCTCCCCAGTAGCTGGGATTACAGGCGTGCACCACCATGCCTGGCTAATTTTTTATATTTTGGTAGAGTCGGGGTTTCACCGTATTAGCCAGGATGGTCTCGATCTCCTCACCTCGTGATCTGCCCACCTCGCCCTCCCAAAGTGCTGGGATTACAGGCGTGAGCCACAGGAATGGGGATAAAGCAGTTTACTGAATAACTATAAGGCTAACACACTTATGTAACTACTACCCAGGTCAAGAAGGGAATATTGACAGCTTGTGTACCTTCTCTGTTACAGCCTGTCCCCAGAAAGTTAGGATAGCCACAAGCTTTCTTTGCATATTGAATCTTTAGGCACTCCAGACACTCATAACTGCTCAGTTAATAACACTAATTGTAATCCTTGAAGAGGAAAAACTTAATCCTGCTAAAAAGTAACAAAACCGATCTACTAGAAGGGAAATATTCCAAGTGATAGATGAATAATTTGAATCAAACACAACACTCTAAAATCTCTGAATATGTTTATGAAGTGGTAGAGTAGCTACAAAGTCAACAAAATATGGAGGCTTTTGCATAAATACTTTGTTCTAAAAACCTTGAAATTTAGTTTTTAAGAAAGTACCAAGTGTAACAATATAAAAACCCAGAGATTTAAGTAACATGTGTATAAAAGTTTTATAATGGATATGCATTCTATATTAAATTATGTGATCAAAATGATGAAATTAATAATTCCAAGTATCTGCAAACAGGTGGTTTTAGATTACTATTCTTTATTGTTTCATATGAGCCATCCAAAAGAAAAATGTCAGTAGAAGATTCAAATTATAACTGACTTAACCAAATTTTAAGCACCTAAGTGAACTTAATTAAAATTTGCAGAATGCTTGAAAATACAATTAACATGTATTGGTAAAGCTTATGGATTTAAATTTAAAAGTCAGCTTTAGAAAAGTTTAGTTTCATATGATTAAACTTAGATTAGTTGCTGTTAGAACTTGAATCTTCAAGAATTATAAAGACCAGTAGAAAATTCTATGTATGCTTGAGGAAGAGCTTGAACATTATTTTGAAGTGTTTGATGTGAAAAATAAAATTGCTAGAGTTATGGAATCAGGTGCAGATTTCTTTTTTTTTTTAAATTGAGATATTTTTGGGAATTTTCATACAAAATTATTTTTCCTCTCATTTTGAATTTTATTTTTATTATATATAAGAAAATTTTGGACTCCTCCAGATCCCTTCCAGTTCACCCTAGCATGCCATCTATATAGATGGCATTTTAAAAAATACTGTTTCATAGGAAAAGTTGAGCTTTGAATTAAACAAATATTTTGAGAGGTCTGCCTATTACAGTTTTTGTTAGGGCTGTCTGTAGATGGTTTATTTTAATAACCATCTTAGTACTAAGTTTAGGTGCCAGATCATGTAGTACTGAGTTTAGTAATTTGGTAAAATTATAATTTTAGTATTATATATTTAGTATTATTATATATTTAATATTATTAAATTTAGAAAATGCTATCTCATTTTAGTTGAGAAACAGTTGGTGGTGGTTCCCAAAATGTTCAAGATCCCAACCTCTAGATCCCTTGTATTAAAAGTGTTACCTTAAATTGTATTTAGCAGCAAAATGCTGTTAATGGAGACCATAGGTTAATAATATAGTTTTATTCTTTGGAAATTAAAACAGGAGTGACTGATAATTTCTGTTTCTTTTAGGAAAAGATTGTTTGGAAAAAGGCACATGTCCTTTGGCTAAAACTTAATCTGTGAGCAACAGCAAAACAGTGTTTGCCACAATCTGTTTTGAAGTTGTTTACCTTCTGTAGGCTAATATCAAAGCACTATGGTGCATTGTTTGCTTGTGAAGGTGGAGGGCCTTAGATGATTTTGTTTTTCAACTGTTGATAAAGTGGTATGAATTTGGATGTCAAGGTGAGCATTTAAACTGAACCTTTTCATGAAGGGAGAGGGCACAGGATGCTGTAATCCCCAAATACATGCTCTTAACTGACACTGAGCTTAGAACATGGCATCTTCCTTTCTTCTATCTTACCTACTATAAACAAGATTAAATAAAAGCAGAATTGAATATTGGGAAAGTTTTTTGTGGAAGGAATTACTATTCTATTGATTATCATATAAATTGAAGCAAATATCCCCTTAAAGGTAATAAATAACATATTCATTTCCAGGTGTTCTTCTCTATGGGCCTCCAGGCTGTGGTAAAACGTTGATTGCCAAGGCCACAGCCAAAGAAGCAGGCTGTCGATTTATTAACCTTCAGCCTTCGACACTGACCGATAAGTGGTATGGAGAATCTCAGAAATTGGCTGCTGCTGTCTTCTCCCTTGCCATAAAGCTACAACCATCCATCATCTTTATAGATGAAATAGGTATGCTATGTTTTCTATATGAGTATTTTTAAAGGCCATTTTTAGAGATATTTAGATAACCAGATTTAGTTTTTAACATTTATTAGGCCATGTTAATAAAACAAAGAACATAACCAACATCATAATATGCTATGTATAATTTCTGTGTTGTAGAATGAACCATAGACTATATACTCCCCTACTTGATAGATAGGTTTTTCTGTCTTTTCTCTGTTACAAACAGTATGCAGTAGATATCCATGTACATGTTTTCTCATGTATATATGTTTGCCCGGGAAAGATACCTAGAAGTTGAATCATTTGGTTGTGTGATATATCTATCTTCAACCTCACTAGGATTACCAGTTCTTTAGTTATTATACCTATTTATGTTTTCCTGCTTGGTAGTAAACTTGGGCATCTTTTAGCATGTTGATTAGCCATTTGGGTTTTCTTATTTGTGAATTGTCAATATTTCTTTGGAGTTATTTGTAGTTTTCTTTTGTTGATGTTTATTATGATTACACCTATTTTCTAGTCTATCTTTTTTCTGATAGTTTTTTTTTTACAGTTTATTATTTGGCTATAGTCAGTATTTTTCCTTTGTGGTTTATACGTTTTGTATCTGGTTTACAAATACCTTCACTATCCCCATAAATGTTCTCTTTTTAAAAATTATATATAACATGAGATAGGAATCTAATTTCATTCTTTTCCAAAAAGACAGCAAACTAGACTATCCTTTGCTGTATGTCATGACTTTTATATTAATGGACTCTTGCTATATTATGGATCAATATTTTTGTTCTGTTCCTGGTACGATGTATATATAAATATATATAGTTATACTAATACAGTATTATTAGTATTGGATATATATTTATATAGCTTTATTACTGTAGTTTTGAATTATATTTTATTATTGTTAAATTTAGTATGATAGGCTATGTAAATATGTAGAGAGAAAAATAGATACAAATATGTAGTATAGCTTTGTTTTGGTTACTTGTTTGCTTTATGTATCTTTTCTCATCAATTTACTCCAGTTATTTTGGTGTTTTGGTGTGCATCTTGAACAGAGGAATATATAGCTAGTTTATTTTGTTTTTGTTTTTTTTTAAGACAGCATCTCACTCTGTTACCCAGGCTGGAATGCAGTGGCGTGATCATGGCTCACTGCAGCCTCAACCTCCCCAGGCTCAAGTGAACCTTCCACCTCAGCCTCCTGAGTAGCTGGGACCACAGGTGTGTGCTACCACACACCACTAATTTTTGTAGAGTCAGGGTTTCTCCATGTTGCCCAGGATGGTCTAAAACTCTTGGGGCCAAGCAATCTGCCCTGCCTTGGCCTCCCAAAGCATTGCGATTACAGGTGTGTCCACCACACCTGGCCTATTAGCTATATTGTCTAAAAATTTTAATCTAAGCTTCTCTTTAACTGGGAAGTGTGATTAGTTTGATTTTGTTATGATAGCTGAGATAATTCAGATTTCTTTTTTTTTTTTTCACGCTCTGTCATGGCTGGATTGCAGTGGCACAACCATGACTCACTGCAACCTTGACCTCCCCGGCTCAAGCGATCCTCCTGCCTCAACCTTTCAAGTAGCTGAGAATACAGGCGTGTACCACCATGCCCTGCTAATGTTTTAATTTTTTTGTAGAGACGAAGTCTCACTATGTTGCCTAGGTTGGTCCCCAACTCCTGGGGTCCAATGATCCTCCTGCCTCAGCCTCCTAAAGTGCTGGGATTATAACGCCTAGCTGATTTACTTCTGCTATATTATTTTTTGCTTTTAATTTACCAGTCTAGTAGACTTTTTTGCTTTATTCCCTTTTTCTTGCTACAGGTTTAGAAGTTATACGTTCTTTTACTTTAGTGAAACGTTTAGAATATCAACTTAAAAGTCAAGGGTAATCTCTACCTTCCTTCCAAATAATTCACAGAGAACTTAGAACTCTTAGGTAATAATAATATCTCATCTCTTACATGTTATTGTTAAACATTTTATTTTTCTTCTACCTTCGATATTAATTGCTATTTTATACTGGCATTGCTTGTTTAGTGCCACGTTTGCTAGGTTTTTTGCTCACCATTGCTTGTTTGATCTTGTCTTTTCTGGATTTAACTTTGTTTTTACTGAAGTCTTTCAAAGTTCTTTCAGCAAAGGTTGTACAAAGAGTAGATTCTTCCTGTGTGTGAACATGTGTTAATTCTACTTTCTCTCTTAAATGATACAGAATCACATTCAGCGTCTTAAAGCTACAATTCCACTGCATTCTAATCTTTTTAATCTTGTTGCTTTTGAGAATTCTCCTTATTGCCCTATATTTGTAAGTAATCTATCCTTTCTCTCTAGTTGCTGTTAGATTTTCATGTCATTCTGCTATTTAAGTATGGTTTTTTTCTAGGTCTGCATTTATTTTCATTTAGCCTGCTAAGCCACTTATCTGAGGATGTGTGACTTTCATTAATTCTGGAGGATTTCTCAGCCATTGTATATATTTGCATGTTGCAATGTTCCCATTAAAAAAAAAAACAATTCTCAGGCCAGGTGTGGTGGCTCACATCTGTAATCCCAGCACTTGGAGAGGCCAAGGCAGGAGGTTTCCTTGAGTCCAATAATTTGAGACCAGCCTGGACAACATGTAAGACCCCATATCTACAAAAAAAAATACAAAAATTAGCCGGGTGTGGTAACGCATGCCTCTAGTCCCAGCTACTTGGGAGGCTGAGGTGAGAGGATCACTTGAGCCCAGGAGATTGAGGATATTCAGTGAGCATAGGTCATGCCACTGCACTGCAGCCTGGGCAACAGAGCAAGACCCCATCTTCAAAAAAAAAATTCTTCATCTCTTCCATTTTGAGTCATTTCTACAGTTTGTCATTTAGTTCTGTACAGTATTTCATCAATTCTAAGACATACTGTTTTGTTTTTTACATTTTAACATCTTCGAAATTAGGATAGCATGTTACAATTGAGTTGGCAGCATTTTAAGTTTCTTGTTGGTACACAAAATAATGGTACAACTTAAAAATAATTCAATTTTTGAGTAGATTATAAAGGCAATTCTTTCCTTGGCTATATTTAATCTTTCAACTATTGGGTTTGTTTTTTGTTGATTATATTTGAACTTTAGAAGTTCTGTTTGGTTCTTTATAAAATGTTTCCCTTTTTTTACTGTAGCTTGTTATTTTAGAATTTCAATCCCTTTTATATCTTTAGAATTTTAAACATACTATTTTTGTGTAGTTTTTGAATTGCTCTTTTCTGAAATTCTAATTTTACTTTATGTTGACTTTTTTTTAATAGTGGTTTGTTTCCTTGTGTCATTTGTAACATTAGATGGCTTTAGGCTTGCTTTTATATGAGAATTCTTTTTTGCCTAAGAAGATCCAGAGTACTTTTTCTGTCCTCAGCTTAGAACTTCAGGGGTCTGATCGTTCAAAACCAATTTTAGATAATTTCTCAGTTTGTGTGTTCCCAGACTGAATGGTGGTACAAATTTAGACTTCATACCTGAAAGAGACTCCCCATGGTCCTAGTTTTTTGTGTAAGGAGGACATTTTTACCCCTCAGAGCCCAGGCAAAGATGGACAAGTTTCCTTGTACAGTGACGAGCAAAATTTTTTTTCTTGTCTACACTTTCTGTGAGTGTTAATCCTTCCAAGCATCTTGGCTTCAGCCTGTATGTAGATGTTAACAACAAAGCAGAACCTTTTGATGCTGTATATGTCTATATGCATACCTGCTGTGTATACAAACACAACAGACGGTAGCATAATCACATCAAGGTTTTCCAACTCTTATGTTCAGTTCCACTTTTTTCTGAACTCTGGGATTTTTTTTCTTTGTTTCTTGCAACCTCATATCTTCATTAACCTTTTCTAAAATACATTAATAGTCTTTATTTTTAATAATGGTTTTAAGTTTGCAGAATTGAGCAGAAATCATATAGAGAGTTCCCATATGCCCCCCAGATATATAGTTTCTCCTAGTATTAATACTAGCATGAGACATTTAATAATGAACCAGTATTGATACATTGTTATTAACCAAAGTCCATAGTTTAAGGTTCATTCTTTGTGTTGCACAGTTCTTTGGGCTTTGACAAAGCATAATGTTTTTTATTTATCATTACAGTCTCATACACAATAGTATCAAATATTTGTCCTTCCCTTTTCCTCCCAAACTGCTAGCATCCGCTGATCTTTTTTTACTGTCTCTATAGTTTTACCTTTTCTGTAATGTTACAGTTGGAGTCATACATTATGTAATCTTTTCAGACTGGCTTCTTTCCCTTAGCAATATGCATTTAAGTTTCCTCCACATCTTTTCATGATTTGATAGCTTATTTTTATTGCTAAATAATATTCTATTATGTAGATGTACCACAGTTAGTTTTTCCATTCGTCTATTAAAATGACACCTTGTTTTGGGCAATTAGGAGTAATGCTGCTGACAGCATCATGTGTAGGTTTTCCTGTGGACACAGGTTGCATCTCAACTGGGTGAAATACCTAAGAGTACCACAGCTTGATCACATGGTAAAACAGTGTTTAGTTTTGTAAGACACTAGCAAACTGTCTTCCAAAGTGGCTGTACCATTTTGCATTTCCACCAGCAATAACTGAGGTTCCTATTGGTATACATCTTCTCTAGCATTTGGTTTTATTAATTTTGGGGATTTTTAGCTATTGTAATAGATATATAGGTATCTAATAGTTTCCCATTTTTAAAATTTGCATTTTCGTAATGACATGATGTGGAACATTGTTTCATGTGCTTATTTGTCATCTGTGTATCTTTGTTGAGGTGTCTGTTCAAATGTTTTTCCCATTTTGAAACAATTGTAATATTTTTTATTGTTTGATTTTTTAATTTTTTATTGATACATAATAATTGTACATATGTATGAGGCACCTATGCAATGAGCAAATCAGGCTAATTGGAATATCCATCACCTCAAAGATTTATCATTTATTTGTGTTGGGAACAACAATTAGGTTATTATCTTATTGTTGAACTTTAAGAGTTCTTTTTATATTTTGGGTACAAGTCCTTTACCAGGTATGTGTTTGCAAATATTTTTTGCCAGTCTGTGGCTTGTCATTTCATTTCCTTAGCAGTATCTTTCACATAGCACGAATTTTATTTTATTTATTTTGTTTTATTTTATTTTATATATTTTTTGAGACAGAGTTTCACTCTTGTTGCCCAGGCTGGAGTGCAGTGGCACGACCTCAGCTCTCTGCAACCTCTGTCTCCTGGATTCAAGTGATTCTCCTGCCTCAGCCTCCCAAGTAGCTGGGATTATAGGCATTCGCCACCATGCCCAGCCAATTTTGTATTTTTAGTAGAGATGAGGTTTCACCATGTTGGTCAGGCTGGTCTCTCAAACTCCTGACCTCAAGTGATCCACCCACCTCGGCCTCCCAAAGTGCCACCATGCCCAGCCAGGAATTTTAAGTCCAACTTACACATTTATTTTTGATGGATCATGCTTTTGGTGTTAGACATAAAAATTAATCAAGTCCAAGGTCACCTAGATTTTCTTCTATATTATTTCCTAGAAGTTTTATAGTTTTGTGTTTTACATGTATATTTGTGATCCATTTTGTGTTAATTTTTGTGAAAATTACAGTCTGTGTTGGTCCGTTTTTTTGCCGATGAATGTCCAATTGCTCCAGCACCATTTGTCAGATGTGCATTTACTTTTATAAAAAAAAAGTCTATCCAATTTTTTGTTTGTGTTTGCAGATACAGATTGAACATCTGTAATCCAAAAATCCAAGATACAAAGTACTCCAAAATTCGAAAGTTTTTGAGCAACAACATGATGCCACAAGTGGAAAACTTTCATGCCTGACCTCATATAACAGATTGTGGTCAAACCTCAGTCAAAACTTTGTTTCATGCACAAAATTATGTAAAATACTGTATTAAATTACCTTCATTCTATGTGTATAAGGTATATATCAAACATAGATGAATTTCATATCCGGACTTGGGTTCTATCCCCAAGATATCATATCATTATGTATATGCAAATATTCCAAAATCTGAAATTTGAAACACTTCTGGTCCTCAGCATCTTGGATAAGGGAGGGATACTCAACCTGTGTCATTTTCTATTTTTTGATCATTCCGAGTCCTTATATTTATAGTATGTTTCTTCTAAGCAAGCATATAGTTGTTTAAAAAAAATTTTTTTTTGAATAGAGGAGGGGTTTTGCCATGTTGCCCAGCCTGGTCTCGAACCCCTGGCTTGAGTGATCTGCCTGCCTTGAGTTTTTTTTTTTTTTTTTTTTTTAATTTATTCTAATATCTTAGTCATGTATTTGGAGACTTTAATCCACTCACAATTTAATGATGGATGTAATTATTTATACATATCTAGCATTTTTTCATATTATTTTAAGTAACCATCTTGCCAAAACCACTTAGTGAAGATTAGGAAGATTAAGTAGGCAGTTGAATTTTAAAATTTATCTTTAAAAATTAGGCAGTTTTAAAATGACTGGTTTTTCCACCTTCAGAATAGATGGGTTAGTTTGAATTATAGTCCAATGATAGGACAGATTTTACAGAATTAAACTTTAAATAAATCTAGGATATATGTTTGCCATTGCAGGACTCTCATGTGTCATGGTAATGTGTTTTTGCTGAAATTACTTTTTATAAAAAATACTTTTTTGAAGTGTGGACATAGCACATTACAAGATATTTTTGTGCCACTTGCATGTATGATCGACAAAGTTTGTGTTGTAGTTTCAATGCTAAAATGTAATAGTTATTCAGAAATAAAAGTGATTTATAGGGATATAAGACAAAACATTTGAAATGGGGATTGTACTAGAAAATCCTAGATTTATTTTTACTGTTTTTTTTTTTAAATTATTAGGATGTAGCACCTTTCAGTCTTATATTCTAAAATAAAATTGTTTTCCCCTTTTTTTAAAAAAGCATTTCATGTTCATTGTAGATAATTTGGAAGACAGAAAATAATTTAAAAGAGAAAGTTAAACTTGTCCTTAAATCCATCCCTGAGCTATAATACAACGTAATTAGCATTTTGGTATATTTCCATAAAACCTTTTTTTACCTTGTATAACATATGTATGTACATTCCAGCATATATGTTTTAAATCATTTTCTGTCCTACATTTTTCGGCTTAATAGTGTTTTGCTCATTTTTCCATGTCGTTTTTATTTATTAACAGGAAACTGCATGAGAAAAAAGTATGCAACATAACTAAGAGCACATAGGGTTCAGGTGACCTAGAAAGTTAGAGGCAAAACACACAGGCTTTCATCTGAGATTCCACATAACTCTTCCAGCCTCTCAGTACTAGATCCTTCATTTTTCTTACATATGTTGTCATGAATGTATTTTTAGAGAAGAAACAAAAATTATGAATGATTGTGTTTTAATTTGCCTAATAATTTACCAAGTTTATTGTATCAGAATGTCTAAAACACATAGCCCAATTTTTTTGTAATCTTTCATAAAGTTTTCAGCTTTAAAACACTTTTTTTCTTTTCATTTTTCTTAATTGACATAATAATTGCACATATTTATGGGGTACAGAGTGACATTTCAATGATCACTATAGTATATAGTGATCAGACCAGGGTAATTAGAATACCCATCATCTAAAACGTTTTATCATTTCAGTATGTTAGGAACATTTGAAATTACATAAAGAGTAAATAAAATAAGGCTAGGCATGGTGGCTCATGCCTGTAATCCCAGCACTTTGAGAGGCCAAGGCAGGAGAATCACTTGAGGCCAGGAGTTCAAGACCAGCCTTGACAACATAGTCAACCTGTCTCTACAGAAAATAAAAAAAAAATTAGCTCCGCATGGTGGCACATACCTGTGGTCCTAGCTACTCGAGAGGCTGAGGCAGGAGGATCACTTAAGCCTGGGAGTTCGAGGTTGCAATGTGCTGTAATTGCGCCATTGCACCCCAGCCTGGGCAACAGAGTGAGACCCTGTCTCAAAAAAAAGGGTAAATAATTAATTCTTAATTTCTAAGGTTAAGGACCTTTTACTTCTAGACTCCTTTCTACGAAACCGTTCAAGTTCTGACCATGAAGCTACAGCCATGATGAAAGCTCAGTTTATGAGTCTCTGGGATGGATTGGATACTGATCACAGCTGCCAGGTATTTGAATAAAATCTGCCCTCAACTTGTGTTGGTTTTTTTGTTCTTAATAGAAAATTTGCTGGGCTACTTACTATGCTTTTGTACAAACTTTTTTTTCATAATTATTTACACTTATGACTAAGTGATAAGGATCCAAAAGAATATGGTTTGTATAAACTTTATCCAATTTGAGGACTTCGTGTTTACCAAAACATTAGTAGATTGCCTAAATGCCTGAAACAGACACAGCAGAAGAGAAAACACCAGAGTAAAGCCTGTCCTTGGAATTTTCAGAACCTACAGTGCTAAGGAGAGGAAGTGACTAGTGTCCGTGGGTATTGTGTACATTTTTTTAAAAAACTGTTCTTTCTGTTTTCCTCGGTTCTTACTTTTGACTTTCACCATAATTCCTTATACTGTCAATTCTTAGTCACTTCCCTGATTTTCATTTGACAGAGTTCATTAGTAGCTGAAACTGACAACACTTTCTCACTTCCTGTCACCTATGCCTATCTTTAGGATCCCAATTTTATACGAGACAGACTTGTATCCTAGGCTTTTCCTCTTCCTCCTGTATGGCTGTGAAACCATAGCTTGTTCCCTGTTATGTGACCAAAGAGAAAGAGAGCTTTATTTTTCAGTTTTCCTCTTCAGGTTCCCAGTTTTCATTTAGTTTTTGGCCTCTGAATATTCTGTGCTTTCTTGTCAGCTTAGTGGTTTAAAAGAAAGTTAAAAAGAAGTTAATCTGGCATGTTTGTTTTTTCAGCCAGATTGCTGGAAATAAACATCCTAGAACCATTTTCCCTTTTTTTTTTTTTTTTTTTAATGAATCACTTACTTATATCTCATGGAAAAGTTAACAGTGTTCTTTTGTTGTTTTAACTTTAGTATTTTCTCTTTTTTTTTTTTTTTTTTTTTGAGATGGAGTCTTGCTCTGTCGCCCAGGCTGGAGTACAGTGGTGTGATGTCGGCTCACTGCAACCTCCGCCTTCCGGGTTCAAGCGATTCTCCTGCTTCAGCCTCCCAAGTAGCTGGGGTTACAGACGTGCACTACCATGCCCAGCTAATTTTTGTATTTTTAGTAGAGACTGGGTTTCACTATGTTGGCCAGGCTAGTCTTGAACTCCTGACCTCAACTGATCCACCCACCTCACCCTCCTGAAGTGCTGGGATTATAGGCATGAACCACTGCGCCCAGCCAACTTTAGTATTTCCTATTTTGTAATCTGTTTTTGCCTTTTTAAAAAAAGTATTATATTTAGAATTATTTAAAATTCAGTTATTATTTCTTCAATTATTGTTCTCCATGTTTTATCTCCTTCTGGAATGCAAGTTGGATATATGTAGGACCTTATTTCTATTTCATGTTTTGTTTTGTTTTGTTGAGACAGGGTCTCACTCTGTTGCCCAGGTTGGAATGCAGTGGCGTGAACATGGCTCTCACTGCAACCTCAACCTCCTGGGCTCAAGCGATTCTCCTGCCTTAGCACCCCAAGTCTCTGGGACTACAGGTGCACGCCACCACACCTGGCTAATTTTGGTGTTTTTTTTGTAGAGACAGAGTTTCATTATCTTGCTCAGGCTGGTCTTGAACTCCTGAGCTCAAGCAGTCTGCCCGCTTTGGCCTCCCAAGTTTGGCTGGCATTACAGGTTAAGCCACTGTGCCTGGCCTATTTCATGTCTTTTTTAACGTCTCTTTCATATTTTCTGTCTTTCTGTGCTATGTCCTGGATAATTTCTTTTCCTTTCTTCTGGTTCATTTGAAGCTCTTCTACTATCTGACTCTTTCATTGAGCTTATTATTTCAAGTATTATATTTTTCAGTTTTAGAAATTCTTAGATTGTTTTTCACATCTACCAGGTCAGTTTTGATAGGCTCTTGCTTATTACTCATGTTTCTAATTGGATTAGAAAATCAGAACCCTGGCATCAACAAGCTGTGTAGCCTTGGCCAAATTTTATAATCACTCTGTATCTGTATAGAGGGAATAATATCTATAAAAAGGGAGGAATATTACCTACCTCAGAACTGTTATGAGGAATTAACCTGAGTTAAGTACATAGGCTTTACCTCCAGCCTTAGCTTAATTCGTTTACTTCTTTGCAAAATTGTAGATTAATTTATTTGAGTCTTTTAAATATTTTCTTTTTGTGGCCAGAGGGTTTAAGGATCCCTTAAGCCCACCGCATTAGCATAAGTCAAAAGTCTGAACAACATCATTCTCAAGAAGAAAATTAAGCCACATGTCCTCCTTCTACATTATGTTTGTGAAAGTGTAGTTTTATTATGAGGAAAACAGCCTTTAGCTTTTGTTGAATGGTTCAAGAAAAAACATAACATAGATAAATTTAGGTAACATTAATAGAAACATTTTTCATTAATAATTGGTTTTGATAAATCTATGCGGTTTATCAATGGGACTCATGTACAGGTTGCCAAAAACTAATTATTCTCCCTGAGAAATAATACTTAAAGCACTTAGACAATTGGATAGTTAGCCCATGTAAGAGAAAATATCTTAATATTATGTACCCTGTCAGAGCATAGTGTTCAACTATTTTCAGCAGGGGATATAGAGGCAATTGGATGAAGTCTTCTCCAGAGCCACTTCATCTATAGCTCCACAGTATGATTCTGGTACAGCATAACTTAAAACAGAGTTTTCAGAACCAAAATTCCTTATTGCACTAATAGCAATTACTGTTTTCATTATGATGAGTTTTGATTTGAGAGAGCAAATGCTGCTGCCTTTTTATTAAACTGCGGTCACTTTTTAACCTTTATTGTATTTTGGGGGCGGGGGTTAAAGTTGATATTATTAATTTTGAGTAATAGTTTTAGACATATTCTACTTTCATATGAACCAGTTAGCTCTTCTCTAGAATTGTCTTTTCTATGATTATGAAGAGAGCCCAGTACCCTAGCTAGCTTTCTTGTAATATGGTCACCAAGGAAATAGAAATAGAGAACGGCTCAATGAAACCGGTCACTGTTTCTGGAAACCTTGGTGACTGATGACATATTCTTCCTCTTGAGAGACATGAGACATAAAAGATAGTGTTTTTAGGGTATTCATTGATGAAGTTAAAGTTTTGGGATGTAAATTTAGGTCTGATTATTTTAAATGTGAAATGATAAAAAAATTATGTTTTGTTTTAAAGAGTTTTTTTTAAACTTTTATTTTAAATTCAGGGGTATATGTGCAGGTTTGTTACATAGATAAATTTGTGTCTTGGGGAGTTCGTTGTACAGATTATTTCATACCCAGGTATTAAGCCTAGTATCCATTAGTTATTTTTCCTGATCCTCTCCCTCCTCCAGATGAAGCTGGAGGCCATGATTCTTGGCAAATGAAGGCAGGAACAGAAAATAAAGATTTTTTTAAAAGTTTGAACAACTAACACATAAAAGGAGCATTGATTTTGTTTCTTAAGTAGTAAAAAATTACTGTCACTTCCTGTTTTATATTTTAGCTCATTTGTATTGAATTAATATATATGAAAAGGTTCTCTGCTTTTGCTGCTTAAAATTACTCCTTAGAATTTGCTTCTTTATGTGAAACTACACGTGATTTCAATCACTTTTGCTTTTTCATCATGAGTATCTGTTATACATACTCAATAGGCCATGTTTTACTAGTTTTATTTGGATTCCTTGGTTCTATTTTTTAGTATTCCATCCTCTATACTGGCTTTTAAATTTTGTTTTGCTTTGTCCTATGTTTCTTCAAATGCTGGCCATTTCCCTTTTTCCCCCCCAAATATTGACTTAACCACAGTGTCTTTTGTGATGTTTTTTCCTTATACTCATTCATTATCTTATGCTTTTAGTTCATTCACCCACTTTTAAGATTTGTTTGTTTTAAATTTGGAAGAAATTTTTTCTTTTTTATTAATTTTATTGAGTTGTAAAAAGTCAATAAAGAGGCTGGGTGTGGTGTTTCACATCTGTAATCCCAGCACTTTGGGAGGCTGAGTGGGGAGGATCGCTTGAGCCCAGAGGTTTCAGACCAGCATAGGCAACATAGTGAGACCTTGTCTCTACTAAAGACGGAAAAATCAGCTAGGCACAGTGGCATGTGCCTGTAGTCCCAGCTACTTTCTGTCTTCAAAAAAAAAAAGAAAGAAAGAAAGAAAATAAAGAAAAATAAATATGAGCATTAATATTTTGATTTTAGGACCACTTAACACAAATACAAACTTGCATTATGTTGTGTTGTGGAACTAACATTTTTCAAATTTGTGTTTATATTTTCTTCCTCTAGGTGGCAAACTCTCACAGTTAATTGAAAGTAATTGGGCTCTGAGGCTCCTGAATGTCATTCAGTGTAGAGTAGAAGTAGGATATAAGATTTGGATTATTTCAGAAATGTAAAACCTCTTAGGGAGAAATAAGGTAATGTTAGAGAAATGTGTTTCCATGGAATACCAATAAATTTCACTTTGGATAGCAGATGTGTATTGTTACTGGGTTATACTGAAGTATCAACAGTAAAGGTAATATTGATGTCCTTCAGAAATTAACTTGTTTTATATATCTTTGTTTTTATTCATGTTTATTTTTAAAGTTCTTTTTTTTTTTTTAATCTCTACATCCTTTATAAATAAGTGACATAGACTCAGAGGTTGGCAGGGCTGCCAGCATTTTTAAAAAGAGTTCTTCCCAGCATTTTGATGTTTGCTTATACTCTGTTATCTTTGTTTAAAGTTGGATTACTTGAGACTTTATTTCGCATTGAGAAGCTATCACCTGCAGTGCTGATAGTACCATGAGATGATGATGTGAAATATAGAGAAAAAGTACACAGTATCTATTACAGTTACCAGAATCTTCAGACTTATTAAGGGGAAATGATTCTCTCCATAATATTATTATTTAAGGACTTGAATTATCCCCTTATACTCCCAAACTGTATACCCAAGCTATAACATAATGGGTTTTAGTCATTCAACATGTATTCATTAAGCACCATATTTTGCAAAATACAATAGTTTTTTAAAAGCAAATTTTAATAATTTTTCAGTGGCTATTTGCAACTGAACATTACATACTTTAATTTCTAGAAAGACATGAAGTGAAATGCATTAGTTTTCCAGTTTTGCTAATATTTGATTTATTTAGGATTAACTTCAATTTATACCTGTAAATAGTTGAATAATAGTGATTTAAAATCAGATTTCTTACAAAGGATTTAGTTAAAATACCACTTAATTTTTAAAACTAAGCCCTAGTAATAACATTCTCAGAGGAGTATAATTGGTAGATTTAATACCTTCTGTCTTCTTTATACACTTAGGTCATAGTAATGGGAGCTACCAATCGTCCTCAGGACCTTGACTCGGCTATAATGAGAAGAATGCCTACAAGATTTCATATCAACCAGCCTGTAGGTGGTCTTGATTGATATTATGAAGAGTTAAATACTCACCTTTTTATAGGTCTTCACCTTTAATTTTAAGAAGGGAATATTTTGTCATATAGGGGTGCTTATGACAGGGAAGGAATGGGGCAGAAACCCTGACAGTAGCTTCTTTGTCCTTTCCACTCTCTATTTCTATCCTAAGATTAGTGTTACTTGCTTCTCTTCAAAGTATATATATATAGTTATCTCAAGTTTGCCTGGCTATTTTAGTGATTTACTTTAGGATATAGGAAGTCATCTATACAGGAAGATACATAAGAAAATCTAAATTATAGTTTTGGTTTAGCATAGAATAGAATTGGAGAAATTTGGCTTGAAGAATTGTTCTATTCAGAAGGCCTGCCATGAACAACAACAGGGATTTATTTGATTGAGTATTGGCAGATGTAGTCAGTGCTTCCCTGATAGGATTAATGATTCCAGTAGATATCATAGTTTACCTTAAGAATGCAAACGCTTAGATGGTGTTAAACCAGTTCTGCCTTCTTTCTAGCATTTTTTGTTAGTTAAAAAGTACCCCTCTAGTAGATGATTATGACTTACCAGTACACTATAATTTTGGCACAGATCTTCAAATCTTGAATTCTGTCTGCCTTCAGACTGCAAAGGAAAGAAAAAACAGGTTTTACTAGTAGAAAATATGTTCCATACAATCAGCATGTTACATGTGTTGCCATTTAGAGGAACTTACTCTAATTCCATTTATAATCTGGCTAAAAATCATTTGTCCCATTTATATTCTGTAATTTATCAGATTGGTTTTTGGTAGTAAACATGATCTCTGAAAGATTGATGGTTATGGACTCTATAAAATTACTCTGATCAACTCTTTACTATAGCTACAACTGTAATAAAGTGGTTAAGTGTGTGCACATCCTTAGAAAATTTACCCAATGAATCAATGAAAAGATTTTTAAACTTAATTTAGGAGACTATAAAATTTATTTAGTATGACTGATTTTTTTTTTTTCTTTGAGACAGAGTCTTGCCTGTCACCCAGGCTGGAGTGCAGTGACGCGATCTTGGCTCACTGCAATCTCTGCTTCCCAGGTTAAAGCGAGCCCGCCTCAGCCTCCCAATAAGTTGGGATTACAGGCGCCCACCACCATGCCCTGCTAATTTTTGTATTATTAGTAGAGACGGGGTTTCACCATGTTGGCCAGGCTGGTCTCGAACTCCTGACCTCAGATGATATGCCTGCCTCAGCCTCCAAAAGTGGGATTACAGGCATGAGTCACTGCACCCAGCCTAGTATGACTAATATTTATTGAGCATTAATATGTGTCACAGACCTGCTAGGATCTGGTGGATGGGACATGGGCCTGGTCCTTGAAGAATTCTGTTTTGGAGAGGCAGACACAGAAATAAATAATGTAAAATATGCTTTATGAAGGTATGTTTAAAGAGCTATGAGAGCCTGAGATGTTGATGAAAACTAATATTCTGTCAGGGAAGTCCATGGAATTTACAGAATCCAGCTGGACCTTGAAGGATGATAGGAATTTGACAGGCAAATGAGACAAGGAAGGGCTTTCCTGCCAGAATGAACAAAGTCAAGAATTTGTGGAAGCACTGTTTAATGGTGAGTTCTGAGGGTAGTTTGGTGAGCGCAGCACCAAGGAATATAGATGGAGAGGAGGCTGAAAAGGTAGACTGCTTCTGGGTTTAGGTGAACTTTATATGCTTTGCACAAGAGTTTTGATTTTGTAAGCAAGACATCAGAACACTTTTTTAAAAATTTGTTTACCTAATTGGTTCTGAAGATAATTTATAGAATCTCTATCACTAATCCAATAGTTAGTACAATGGACAATTAAGGGTTTTTTAAATTTTATTCTTTTTTTAAAGACAGAGTCTTGCTCTGTCAGCCGTACAATTATAAATTATAGCCCACTGCAGCCTTGACTCTTGGGCTCAAACAGTCTTTCCACCTGAGCCTCCTGAGTAGTTAGGACTATAGGCATGCACCACCACGTTTGGCTAATTTTTGAATTTTTTTACAGACGGGTCTCACTATGTTGCCCAGGCTAGTCTCAACTCCTGGCCTCAAGGGACCCTCCTACCTTTGCCTCCCAAAGTGTTAGGATTACTGGCATGAGCCACTGTGGCTGGCCAGCTATGGTTTTTGATGTACAGTACAATAGAACATAGGATACAGTAGCATGGAAAGTAGCCACAATTAAAGTTGTAAATTTAATATGTCGTGTGAGTAATCAAAATGGGTTGTAACAGGTTTTATCAAGTTTATTATAAATTTGTATAGTGTTAACATAGAAATGGAAATTTGTAACCTCCATTTTATTCCATTTTAGTGAATACGCTTTATAGGTTAGTTTTTTTTCTTATGTAATATGATGTAAAGTGTATGGTTAATCTTAAAACTTTTCTCCAAGTGAAATGTTTAACAGAGTATTTGTTGGTGATCACATGACATATCAAATTAACCTTCCTACTTGACACACTTAAATTACAGAAAGAGCAGAGTTTGGTTTGTTTTTCAAGTAATTTGATTTGGTAGTCATTGTAACCAGCTCTGCTTTGTCGATGTTTGTGGGAATAGGGATAAATTCAGCCATGATAGTTTTAAGAAGCATCTATATTGACTATATAGCTGAGGGATTCTATAAAAGGAGCTAAATGTAGTTTGTATTTATTGTATGGTGTAAAAATAGGAATTGTCACTGGGGGAAAAGCATACAGACATGTAAACAAATATATCATCAGCACTAAATTAAAATTCACTAATATAAATTAGTGGTCAAAGAAGGAGAAGGAAATGGAGGAACTGAGAAGTTACTGTTGCCATCTCTTTGAATTACTGATAATAAATTTTATGGTGAGTTTTCATGAGTTTCCTGCATGAAGGGAAAAAAAATGAAGATTGCTGAACTATAGAGGGAAGACATTATAGTCATAGATATTCATTTACTCATTAAAGATTAAAGGTGTGTTATTTCCCAAACATTGTACTAGGCACTGGGGATGAGAGTAAGAAGATACAGTTCAGTAGGAGAACCAGAGATAATTACTCTAGAGCCTTGAATCTAGTTGCTTTGACCTCTTCAAAGTTTCTGTCATCTCCTTATAAGTATTGAGAGAGACTTTAGAAGGGACAAAATATTAGGAACACTACTTGATCTTTTTAAAAAAATAAAAAATAAAAATGCTAACTGGAAATTATCCTGCTTTTAGGCTTTAAAACAGAGAGAAGCAATCCTGAAACTCATCTTGAAAAATGAAAATGTAAGTAGAAAATAAAAATTTTTTCCCCGTCCTATAAATCTGATGTTCATAAAGTTATTTTAGAGAAAAATGAGGAAGGAATCTGAGAATGATATACCCCAAGGATCTCCAGCCCCTGCAGCCACAGACTGGTACTGGTCTATGGCCTGTTAGGAACTGGGCCGCACAGCAGGAGGTGAGCTGTGGGCTAGAGCTCCACTTCCTGTCACATCAGCAGCGGCACTGGATTCTCATAGGATTGCAAACCCTATTGTGAACTGTGCATGCGAGGGGGGTTGCTCGCTTCTTATGAGAGTCTAATGATAAATGTAATGCACTTGAATCATCCCCAAACTATGCCCCCCTCCTCCACTTCTCCAGGTCTGTGGAAAAATTGTCTTCCACAAAATTGGTCCCTGATGCCAAAAAGGCTGAGGCACTGATACACCTTTGAACTTGACCTGAATCCTCTTGGTTGCTTATGTAACTCAGTAACTATGGTATATGTGAGTTAAAGATACTTTTCTTATGTTTTTAGAGCCATGTGTTTTTGTATCTGTGCATTAAAATGCTCTGATATTTTTCAGACTATTGTCTGATTTTATGTAAGATACATTTGTTTTTCTACAGAAGTTTTTTGTCGTTGTTTTTTACTTAATTGCATTTTTTTAACCTTTCCTGTGGTGCTGAAAATTGCAATATTTTTTGAAGTTGAAATTTAAATTTAAGAAGTTGTGGTAATCAAAATTTTCAATAGCTTTTGTGTTTAAGGTTTTTTTGGTCACATGTTTCAAAAATTAAAGTATGTATATTTAATAATACACGGAGAAAAATCTTCTCTTTTTTCCTGTATATATTTTTTTCTTTTCTTTCTTTTTTTTTTGAAGCAGAGTGTCACTCTGTAGTCCAGGCTGGATTGCAGTGGCACGATCTCGGCTCACTGCAACCTCTGCCTCCCAGGTTCAAGTGATTCTCATGTCTCAGCCTCCTGAGTAGCTGGGATTACAGGCGTGTGCCACCACACTCGGCTAATTTTTGTATTTTTACCATGTATTTTTTGCATTTTACCATATATTTTTACCATGGTTTCACCATGTTGGCCCGGCTGGTCTCAAACTCCTGGCCTCATATGTTATTTCTCCTTTTATTTACTTATTTTTTATATAAACTATCAATAACACATACACACTGTTCTGTGCATTGCTTTTTTTACGTATCGTTGAGATCTTTCCATATTAGCATCTAGTTTCCTTATTCTGTTGTCTCTCTTTGTTTTTACACTACATAGGATTCCACTGTATGGACATTCTGGAATTTAGTGAATCAATGCCACATTGAAGGACATTTGGATTGATTCTGGTCTTTCACTATTATAAAAATTCTACATTTAATAACCTTGTGTGTATGTCATTTCATACTTATACAGGAATATTAGTAAAGTAAATTATCCAGGAGCGGAATTGCTAGATCAAAGGTTAGAGTGTTTATAATTTTGGTAGCTATTGCCACATTGTTACGGTTTACTCATATTCCTGTGATAAAGAGTGCCTCTTTTCCTATAGTCTTGCCAACAGAATGTTATGGAACTTCGTGCCAACATGATAGATAGAAAATGGTTATCTCTCTGTTTTTTTGTTTTTGTTTTTTTTCTTTTTTGTGACATGATCTCTCTCTGTTGCCTAGCCTGAAGTGCAGTGGTGTGATCAGGGCTCACTGCAGCCTTAAACTCCTGGGCCCAAGTAATCTTCCCGCCTCACCCTCCCAAGCAGATTACAGGCATGTACCAGCAAGCCTGGCTAATTCTGTTTATTTATTTAGTTATTTATTTTGTTGAGATGGTATCTTGCTGTGTTGCCCAGGCTGGTGTTGAACTCCTGGGTTCAAGCAATCCCCCCGCCTTGGCCTCCCAAGGCTGGAATTATAGGCATGAACCACCACAGCTGGTCAAAAATGGTTATCTCATTAAAGTTTTAATTTGCATTCTTTAGGGATGGAATGAATATTGTATGTTTAAGAAGCATTTGAATTTTTTTCTGTGAACTGTATATTCATATATTTTGCCCATTTTTCTATTGCAGTGCTCCTTTTCATAATAAATCTGTAGGAACTCTTTGTATTATGGAGATTTGCCCTTTGTATGATTTGAAAATATTTTTTTCCAAGTTGTCTTCCGATTTTATTGGAGTTTTCTTCCCCCCCACCCACCCCCCCTATGGCTTCTGGATTTTGAATATAAATTTAAAGGCCTTTCCTACTCCCAAGTTTATAAAGTAATTTTCCACACTTTCCAAACTCTTGCTACCTGTTTTCCCAAAACTCGATAACTGCATATAATTGAATAACGTGGTATTCCTCTTTATCCCAAACTTGATATCTAAACTCACTGTTACAACTCACTGTATAAACTAATAAATCAAATAGATTCTGATAGTGAATGAACCTTAGTAGAGATACTACTTTTATCAAAATACTTGTATTTTTATGGCTTCCCTCCTTCCTTGAACTACCAGAAACCCCATGGCTAATTCTTCTCCAGCCATGCCCTACTTCCACACTTCCTATTTTTTCCCATTATATCTCACCCATAAATGTTTTAGTTGTATCTCTAAAAGAAAAGGATTCTTTTTTTTTAACCTAGCCTCATTGCCATGTTATACCTATTAAATAATTGACAGTAAGTCATTATTTTCATTATCTAGTCTATGTACAAGTCTCTGATTATTGTTTTCTAAATGCCTTTTTTTAAACCATGTATTTGACTCAAGATCGTATGAATTTCCTAATTTGCAATTCTTTGATACTTTTTATGTCTCTTTTAATTTATAGGTTATAGGTTCTTCCCTTATCTTGCTTCCCCCCCACACACCCAACCTTTTAAAATTATTTACTGGAGAAACTAGGTTGGGTTTGTCCTAAGTTGTCCACAGTCTGGGTTTTGCCGATTGCAGAGGAGTAGTTGTTGCTCTAATATTGGTAGTTGGATCAAGAGACTGGATGAGGTTCAGGGTGGTGGGGAGGAGACACAGGACAGGACAGCACAGCTTCATAAGTAGAATTATGTTCTTCCATCAGGAGAAACATAATATCTCAGTGGCTTGTACGTTTTACATTTAAATCTTTATCATATTTGGAATTTAGATAGATGATATGCAGTATGAATCCAACTTTGGTTTTGTTTTTCTAGATGGATACCTAGTTGTCCAACACCTTTTTGTTTGTTTGTTTGTTTTTTGTGACGGAGTCTTGCTTTGTCACCCAAGCTGGAGTACAGTGGCGTGATCTCTGCTCACTGCAACCTCTGCCTTCCAGGTTCAAGTGATTCTTGTGCCTCAGCTTCCCGAGTAGCTGGGATTACAGGCACGTGCCACCATGCCTGGCCAATTTTTTGTATTTTTTCATAGAGACAGGGTTTCATCATATTGTCCAGGCTGCTCTCGAAGTACTGAGCTCAAGTGATCCACGTGCATCGGTCTCCCATAGCAGTGGGATTTCAGGCATGAGCCACTGCGCTCGGCCCATTTTTTTTTTTATAGCCACTACAGATGCCACTTTTACCAAATTCTCATATGTATTGTCTCTGTTTCTGGACTTTAAATTCAGGTCTTGGTCTTTCGTGTCTTTATGCACTAGGATTAATACTGTTTTAATTATTGAGGCTTTGTAAGTTTTAATATCTGGTAGAACTATATATCCCTTGTTGTCCCCGAACCCCAAGGTTATTTTAATTCTTTTTCTCTGCATAAATTTTAGAATCAATTTGTCTTACATAGGAAAAAAACAAGCATTAATATTTTTGGTGGATTCTCATTTAAGATAATCTTTTTGATGTTGAATCTTTCTGCCCAAAGGCATATATGTCTTTCTGGGTTGTTTACCTTTGTGTCTTTCAGTTGTGTCCTAATGATTTATTTATTTTTTAAAGAGATCAGATATCTTATCAAGCAGAGTTCCATGTAACTTACAAAAAAAAAAGAGAGGAGAGATAGAGTCTCACTCTGTTTACCCAGGCTGACGTGTTGTTTTTTTAGGGTCTCACTGTATTACCCAGGCTAAAGTGCTGTGATATGATCATAGTGCACTGCAACCTTGATCTCCTGGGCTCAAGTGATCCTCCCACCTCAGTCTCCCAAGTAGTTAGGACTGCAGGCATGCTTCACCACGCACAGCTAGTTGTTTTTTGTTTTTTAAAAATCTTCTTGTAGAGAAAGGGTCTCGCTCTGTTATCCAGGCAGGTTTTGAACTCCTGACCTCGAGGTATCCTCCTGCCCTGGACTCCCAAAGTGCTAGGATTATAGGCATGAACCACCATTCTTGACCTATTGCCTTAAAACATATCAAAATAACATATAGTGTATGCAAAAGCTTAAAGAACCTAGCAAATTACAAAGATTAGGATCAGTGGTTATGAATCATTTTGGGGGGAGCATGTCATAGAGCCCTTTAAGAATGAGATAAAAGTAGTCTTTTCTAAGAAAGCTACGTATGTACATGAAATATGTACAGTTTCAGAGAAATTCCTAAAATTCTCCATGTTTTTTAGGTAAGGAACTTTGGTCCTAGATAAGAAATCAGTAAATTATATTTTGCCTTTTTTTTTTTTTTTTTTTTTTTTTGTGACAGAGTCTCGCTCTGTCGCCCAGGCTGGAGTGCAGTGGCATGATCTTGGCTCACTGCAACTTTCACCTCCTGGGTTCAAGCGATTCTCCTGCCTCAGCCACCTAAGTAGCTGGGATTATAGGCGCGCGCCACCACACCCGGCTTATATATATATATATTTTTTTTTTTTTAGTAGAGACGGGGTTTCACCATGTTGATCAGGCTGGTCTCGGACTCCTGACCTCATGATCCGCCCGCCTCAGCCTCCTAAAGTGCTGGGATTACAGGCATGAGCCACCGTGCCCGGTTGACTTTTAATTGAATTTTTGATAACTGCTTTCAAAAAAACATTGTGTAATCCTGGCACTTTGGGAGGCCAAGGCAGGCAGATCACCTGAGGTCAGGAGTTCGAAACCAGCCTGGCCAACATGGTGAAACCCTGTCTCTACTAAAAATACAAAAAAAATTAGCTGGACATGGTGGCTGGCAACCGTAATCCTGGCTACTTGGGAGGCTGAGGCAGGAAAATCACTTGAACCCCGGAGGCAGAGGTTGCAGTGAGCCGAGATCGCGCCACTGTACTCCAGCCTGGGTGACTAGAGTAAGACTCTGTCTCAAAAAAAAAAAAAGTGTAGTTGTAGTATTGTTTAGATAAAACACAATTGGTAAACCTTTAACA
This sequence comes from Homo sapiens, assembly GCF_000001405.40. Classification (NCBI taxonomy): domain Eukaryota; kingdom Metazoa; phylum Chordata; class Mammalia; order Primates; family Hominidae; genus Homo; species Homo sapiens. The sequence continues at coordinate 87,762,418 of NC_000010.11, read as the reverse complement.
GTGATAGACACCAGTGAAAAGTTTAGAGAAGAAAATAAAGGGGATAGTTAATAAGTTCCTTTGAATTAGGATGGCCATGGTGTGGCTAGAAATTTAACAGATACTAGAAGGTAGTTACAATTTTGGAGACTTCAAGTTAACCAATACAGTTATTTAATTTAAACCATTTTAATGAAGGATCGTTTTGCATGACTGGAAGTTTATAACATTTTTGAAATATAGTGTGGTCTAGTGTAGCTGGAGATGATGCAGATGATTTACATATAGCTGATTAATATGAGTACAAGTGATGAAATTTAAGCCCTTGTAACAGAGCCATAATTTACACAGGTTATTTAGTTTCACATTTAAACTTAAGAAGTTACTCATGTCAGTGCTGGGCATGGTGACTCATGCCTGTAATCCTAGCACTTCTGAAGGTCATGGTGGGAGGATCACTTGAGGCCAGGAGTTTGAGACAGGTCCGGGCAACATGATGAGACCTCACCTCTACAAAGAAATTTTAAAATTTAAATGGGTCTGCCTAGTTACTCGGGAGGCTGAGGCAGGAGGATCACTTGAGCTTAGAAGTTCAAGGCTGCAGTGGATGCACCACTGCATTCTAGCCTGGGTGACAGAGCAAGATCCTGTCTCTAAAAAAGAAATAAGAGGAAGAAATTATACATGTCTCTTAATTTTAGTATTCAGTATTCTGCTTTCTTAGTACTGTCTTTGGAAATTCTTTTAGGATTATATTTTTCATGGCTACAGGGAATTTTTTTTTTAGACAATCTCTGCTTTGTCACCCAGGCTAGAGTGCAGTGGCACAATCTCAGCTCACTGCAGCCTCCCTGGGCTCAAGTGATCCCCCCGCCTCAGCCCCCTGAGTAGCTGGGACTATAGGTGCATGCACCACACCCAGCGAATTTTTTGTATTTTTAGTAGAAATGGGGTTTCGCCATGTTGCCCAGGCTGGTCTAGAACTCCTGAGCTCAAGAGATCCACCCATCTCAGCCTCCCAAAGTGCTAGGATTACAAGCATGAGCCATCCCACCCAGCAGATACAGGGAATTTTTAGCAATTCTGTTATTCATAAAACCACAAAGTATAGTCTCTAATCAGTTTTATGTTGCAAAATACGAATGCTCTCTGGATAATTGCTGACATGAGAACATCTCGTCATTTCCCACTGGTTGGTATTTATATGCTGAAGGATTACTGCTACTTCAATAAAATCTGAAGAAAATTAATTTAATTTTGTTAAAGATGCCTCAAATCAGTAGCACATATATTTATTTGGTAAACTGAGCACTGTCATACTTATACATTGTGGAGCTAAATAAGGGTTTTTTGTTGTTTTTTTTTTAAATTCACATGAACTTCCAGACTTTGAGTTCATCTTCTCTGAATAAAAGATTGAAGCTTTTGAAATGATACTGTGTTCTACTCTTTTACAATTATTTTATTGATAGGTATTCCTTAACATGATTCGCTTATTTTAAAAAGATAGTGTAGTGATTTTGGCTTAAGGTTTTAAGTATAAAAAGAATTAGCACTGATAAAATTTATACCCTATAAAAGTATTTCGTCTGACTTTAAGGAGGTAGCTTTTTTCCCTATACAAACTGACCTGAAATTACTTTTGTATGATATAGCAGCAATAGTTTTTGTTTTTTGTTTTGAGACAGAACTGACAGTCTCCTACATTCTAGCTGACCAGCCTCATCATTCTAGCCAGACTGGAATGCAGTGGTGTAATCCTAGCTCACTGCAGCCTTGAACTCCTTGGCTCAAGTGATCCTCCTGCCTCAACCTCCTGAGTAGCTAGACACACCCAGCTAGTTAACAAAATTTTTTTTGTTGAGATGGGGTCTGTGTTAGCCCGTTCTCAAACCGCTATAAAGAACTACCTGAGACTGGATAACTTATGAAGAAAAGAGGTTTAATTGACTCACCGTTCCACAAGCTGTACAGGAAGCATGGCTGGGAGGCCTCAGGAAACTTAACAATCATGGTCAAAGGCGAAGGGGAAGCAAGCATGTCTTACCATGGCAGAGCAGGAGTGGGAGAGAGTGAAGGGGGAAGTGCCACACATTTTTAAACCATCAGATCTTGAGAGAACTCACTCACTATCATGAGAACAAGGGGGAAGTCTGTCCCCATAATCCAATCACTTCCCACCAGGTCCCTCCCCCTAACACTGGGAATTAAATTCAACATGAGACTTCGGTGGGGACACAGAGCCAGACCATATCAGGGTCTCATCATTTGCCCCAGCTGGTCTTGAAATAAAATTATAAGTGTAAAATGCTTAGAGTACATAGATGTTATTTACAAGTATACTATTAATGGTGGATATAATAATAAACAACTGCATAAGTAAGTATCATTCTTTCAAGCTATTTTAGAAGTCTGTTAACTTATTCTGCTGTTGCTGCCTATACTCAAAAGCTTTTTAACTTGGGAATTGCCTTCAGAGTTGCCTAATGAAAAGAGTTCTCATTATTTCATGGTTTATCTAAAAGCTATTATCTTAGAACAAAATGAGCTACTTTTAGAGTGCTTGCTATGTGCCAAGCATTTTGGTGAGCTATACATTGTTTTATTTAATCCTCATTTATCTAAGGAGTACATATTAGTCCTATTTTACAGCTGAGGAAACTGAAACCCAGAGAAGTTTTGTAATAACTTGCCCAGGATTACACAAAGAAGTGATGGAGCCTACTCTTAACCATTAGGGTATGGTACCTCTTAATTAAATCTTGCTCCCCCAGTGACTGGAATCTTCTTTTCTTTGTTTTCTTATACTTGGTTGGTTCATCTTTCTAACTGTATCATCTTATCAGGCACAAGATTTGTGAGTGGTTAGAACATAGGGTGGCCCAACAACGGAGTGGTCAAAAGACAGGAGGAAGTGTTGGATGTTTAATTTTTAACATCTCAGAGTATAGTTTGGAAAGCTCTTTAAAGTAGTTTGTTAAATGTATGAAATATTTCAAACATATAAACAAATAGCCCCATTATCTTCCACCCATATTTAACAGGCAATTTTAATATATTTCCACATTTGCTTCATTTTTTTTTTAATTAAGTACAGCCTTAAGCAACCACTGGCCACTTCCCATTATCACCGTCATTGGTAACCTGCTGTCCAGGAGTTGATAGAGTTTATCAATCCCGTGAATATATGTGAACAGATACCTAATGCATGTGTATAGGTATATGTTATTTTTATTCTTTTTACAAACAGTAGAAAAATTAGATCCTTGTATGTGTCTGTTTCTTAAGGACACATGAGAAGAGTTTCTCAATTCACAAAAAATTAAAAACTACAAAGGAAAGAGAATAGAGAAGTCTGACTATAATCAGACTTAAAGCTTCTGTGTCACGGGGTAACATGAACAAAGTGAAAAAACAAGCCACAATGAAAATATTTGCAACCCTATAACCATCAAAGGACTAAGATCTAAATTATATACATGTATGTACATGAGATCACAGGTGCTGTCACCGGTCCTAAGAACTCACTGATGTGGCAGTACATGAGACATAAGTTAAAAATCTTCCAGTATTGTGAATTTGCCCATTTTTATATGTAATTATATAAATTTCTGCTGTATATGTTTTGAGGCCATGTTACATGTATGTCTACAGGGGCAGAATTGTTGTATTTTTCTGGTGAATTTTTTTTTATCATTATATAATGACTTCTCAATTATGCATTTTGAGTAAAAATCTGATGTAACTAGAACTACATTAGCTTTCTTTTTATTAATCGTTGATGTCTTTCAGTCTTTTACTTCCTGCTTTTCTTTGTTTTTATTTCAAATGTAACACAAAGACTGTTTTTTTCCCTTTAGCATAAGTATTGTCTATTATAAACCTCAAATAGCTACATTTTGGGTTCTTTTGTATAAAATCTTTTACCAGCCAAGTTTAGTCTATTTGCATTTATGGTAATTACTCATAAATTTGGATTCATTCATTATTATTTTAATGCTTTCCATTTATTATGCTTTTTCTTTGCTTATTTGTCCCAACCCTCTAGTCCTGAGTTTGTTAATACTGCTCTTGTATTCTTTATTCTGTTTTTCTCCCTTCCTCTATTGGTTTGGAAATTACACATTCTCTTTCTTCCTTTAGTGTACCCTTTCTATCCTTTAGTGGTACCTATGTATTTTGACATACATACATAAAGTCTAAGTTAATAATATCTGTACCCTCTTTTTAATGCTTTAATTGTAACACTTTAGAGTACTTTAATGTAGATGTCTCCTCTGTCTTACATGTCCTTATTGTACAGCATTTTAGCTCCACTTTGTTTTTGTACCCCAAATGATTATGACTACTATAATAACTATTATTACTACTATTTATATAGCTAAAGTTTATTTAGATTTATCCATGTATTTACCATTTGCTTTGCTTATCATTGCTGCTTGCACTCCTGCCCTCTGGGTTCAGTTTCTTTTTATCAAAAAACATGATTTATCTTCATGTAACCCTCATGTTTAGGAATGAGAGCACTGTCATGTGAGGTCACAGTTGCAGAGCTGGCAGTGTTGTCTCACCTTCAAGTCTCTTGTCCTTGTGTAGAGTTGCTGTTCTTCCTAAAACACTGTGTCTTCCACGTATACAAATGGGAATTTAGTAAATATAATACAAATACAAATGGGAATTTAGTAACTATAAGGTGTCATTTCACATCAGTGGGGGAAAGTAAATGTTGCTGTAACAAGTGATGAGCTGAACAGGGGAAAAATACAGCTGGACCTCACTATATTGTGTTCAAATCCTGGCTCTGACCGTGTTTACCTGTCCAGGTCTCATGATTCTTATCTGAAAATGAAATTGATAGTTTCTGAGAAGATTAAATGAGAATAATACATGCAAAGTGCTTACCCCAGTGAATGAGACATAAGAATCATTTACTAGATGGTAGTTATAGATTTTTTTCTTGCTTATTTTCTCTTCTTAATCTGTACATAAGTTTAGTATGATTAGACTATCTCAAGTCTATTATGTGGCTAGGACAGTCACTTAATTGGCTTGACTATAAGCTTAGCTTGAGGAGCAAAAGTATAGGTGCTAAATTCATGTTGAGATAATAGAATACCAAGCATTACAATTAAAAGGAATGTTGAGTGTTTTGTTTTTTTTTTTTTGTAATGGACTCTTGATGTAGGTTATTTGCCAAGTACTGTATGTTGAATGTATTACAGAAAAATGTCACCTTGGTACCTTCTTGAGAGATATCAAAGAAAGTCCAATATCCGTTCTTCCCCATCACTCTACAGTGTATCTAGTAATAATTATTTGTCTTAATCATAAGGACAAATAATGAAAATTATATTTCAAATTTCTAAGCTTTTGTGGTTAAAAAAAGCTTCTAGAAACTATTGTTTCTCCTCCCATGCAGTTATAATATGCTTAACTTTCTTTAAGATGGGTGTTTGGTAGTATCATTTACAATATATTTATTTTTGTTTTTTAAGCATGTTTTTATATTTGTTTAAGGTGGATAGGCATGTAGACCTGCTAGAAGTTGCCCAGGAAACTGATGGGTTTTCAGGAAGTGACCTAAAAGAGATGTGTCGAGATGCTGCCCTCCTCTGTGTTAGAGAATATGTTAATTCTACATCAGAAGAAAGGTATGTTATTTTGACTTGATTTTTAACACTTGTCAAAATCTTTTAGAGCTTTTAGGTTAGTTTCTTTTATTTTGCTTTATATTAGAAACACCGCTTATGAAATAAAAGGTAAATTTGGATTATCACCCCCTGCAACTTTATTTATTGCCATTTTTCCAAAGCAGAATTCTGAAAATGAAGGAGGGCAGAATTGTGGGAAGGGTCTAGAATGAAGGAGAAAAAAGGTGAATTTCTTCTGATGATCCGTGGAAATTTCACATGTAAATGTGAGGGGAAATTTCCCATGTAAATTGGAGATATTGAAGACTAGACCTCAATTTGTTAACGAAAATGTATTTACTGAACAAAGAAACCATTTATCACTGCAGCAATTTTACTTGGAACCAGTTCCAAAGTATAGTGAAGTTGAGAATCCAATTTTTTTAACAGCCTTATTTCAGCAAAGATACTAATGAACTGGAATAGTTCAGCCCTGGTGAACCATGTCCTAAAGGAAGTTTCCTAAAATGCCACTTGCCTGGAACCAGTATTATACTGCATTTCTTTTCAGAATATCAGCCTTCTAACAATTTCTGTGATTCTTGGTGAACTCCAGTGTACTTTTAGGGGTTGTGTTAAAGGAATTCTCCAACTCTTGTCCCTTTGTCTCTTGGTCTCCCTTCCTCACCTTCCTAGGGATTTCACTCCTTGCCTGTGGTATTCATATATTTAATTGCAGTGTGTTGCCATAGCAAACTTCAGCAAAAAAATGTTTTGCGAGCTTTGATATAGAAAGGTCTGCATGAAAGCTACTCTGTCAACTGGTAGCTGTATATGCAGTGGCTCTGGTCTCATCATCGTTAGTGCACCCTCAGAATCTACCTTCCAAAGGTTTTATTCTTTTTTTTGAGACGGAGTTTCGCTCTTTTGCCCAGGCTGGAGTGAAGTGGTGTGATCTCGGCTCACTGCAACCTCTCTCCCCAGGTTCAAGCGATTCTCCTGTCTCAGTCTCAGCTGGGATTATAGGCGCCCATCACCATGCCCGGCTAATTTTTGTATTTTTAGTAGAGACGGGATTTCGACATGTTGGCCAGGCTGGTCTCGAACTCCTGACCTCAGGTGATCCACCCGCCTTGGCCTCCCAAAGTGCTAGGGTTACAGGTGTGAGCCACCGCTACTGGCCAGGTTTTTATTCTTATATATAAGATTAAGAGGAGAAATAACCAACCAGTTCGTAAATTTTGCTTAGGTAAATTACACTAATAATGAAAGATCTATTTTTTTGCTGCCTCAAAGCCCTGAAAACTGTATTTCAGTATGAAAAGTCTGGCTAGTTTTATATTTCCTGAATTTCATATTTTATAATTTTATATTTCAGTATGAAAAATCTGGATGGACTTGGGTTATAACTTTTTCCTGAATGTTTTTCCCTGAATATCTGTAAATTACAAGGGAGCCATAATATTCTGGACTTTGTTTCTCATTGAAGTAGGGAGGATTTGGATTAGTTGATTTTTACTGATAGTGAAGAATTTTACTCTCAATTTGTAAAAAGCAAAACATGCATGTAAGTATATACCTAGAAATGCTACTTTTTAATTACAGTTTTCATGGGAATAACGTGATTTTTTAAATTGGAATTATATTCCCATTTCAATAAACCATATAACATTTTTTACCTTATGGTAATATTGTGTACTTATAGATGTGAAGTCTTTGTAGCTATTTTAGCTTCCTACTTCTTAGCACTCAGTGCTTTTAAAAAATTCCTTATGATTTCTCTATGTGTAGATAATTCCTGGAAGCATTTACATGAAGCTGTTCATTGTGGTTGTCTTTGGGGTCTTGAATGGTAAAGAGATTTCATTTTTATACCCTTTTCTACAGTTGAAAACAAAATTTTTTTTTTACCACATGCATCTCTTTTAAATCTTGGTAAAATATTTTAGGGAGGCATATTCTAAAGTTATTTGAGTATTTGATGGTTTTGTTTGCATTTTAGCCATGACGAAGATGAAATTCGGCCTGTTCAACAGCAGGACCTGCATCGGGCAATTGAAAAGATGAAGAAATCAAAGGATGCAGCATTTCAGAATGTTTTAACACATGTTTGTTTAGATTAAGAGTAAAGATCATTTGTACAGTTCAGTGATCTAGTTTGGTGTGTCCTCTTATCAGTTAGTGGAAATAGAACGGAAAGAGTGCTCTTTAAACAATGAGGGAGCTCAGTGTTTATGGTTTTATACTCTGAATTCTAAGTTATTGAGATATAGTTGTTACATAGGTGGTATTACTGTTGGTCAAAAATCATGAGGAGGAACAGTTGAATCCAGCCTGAACGTGGGTGCTTGTGTTTGACCTTTTCAGCCATATATTGTACAGCCTTATAGAATCTAAGCTGGTCTTAAAGTCATAAATGATTCATTGGGTCATTAGTGAGAAACGGGGATGTGGTTAGGTGCTGGTTCCTAGACATGTGAGTATGCGTTTGTGTGTGTGCGTGTATGTATGTGTATATTAAATGTATATATCCACACATTTTATATTGACATTCTGTAGATATGTTTGAATATAGAAACTTTTTTTACCCCAACTACTGAATCCAGGAGTACCAAATAATATATAGTAAAACTAAGATTTAAGGTTGTGTCAAAAAGGTACAGTGATTCAGCCATTTCCATTTGTCATTTGTTTCAACCTTTTTTAAGTTGAGTGTTTTTATTTCTGCAGTTATTAGTTGGATCCTCCACATCTTGCATATATACATGGGCTCAATTATTATGTTTGTCAGGATAATCAAATGAAAATACTAGTTCAGTGATCAGCATTGAATGGTTGTTAGGCAGCCATGTGCTCAACACTGATTTCACCTCTTGAGTATAAACTTTTTAAATTTAAATTGGTTTACATGAAAGTGGATTAAAAGGCCTTTCAAAAGAATGGGTTTGAAAAACCTCAGTACCCTTTAATACATGTACATTTCTTTCCTTTTTTCATTTAATGTAACATGTCTGTTGTAACTATGTTTCTTAAATATTATTTTAAGGTTATGTGTTCTTTAATTATGGTCAAATATAATTTGGTCACCAAAAATGAAATAATAGTTTAAAACAAGTAGCTGTTACTAAGTGTGCTAAAAATACTCATTTTATAATTAATTTTAGTTTTCTTAGTATATTATTATAAATTGTGCCCTAAGTCAGGTACAAATGTACACATCAAAATGCCCATATTGTATCTATCTGTAGTCGTTTAATGTGAATTATATGTGAATTTTTTTCAAAATTTTACTAACCAGAATTCTGTTATAGGCACCTAACCACGCAGCATGAGGAAAACGGCACAACACAATCTTGAGGTGCCTTCTGAATCATCAGATTAAATTATGCTTCATATGTTTTTGCTTTTACTGTATTTCTTTAAAAACTCTAAATCTTTATTCATGTGTCACTGGATTAATTTATCTGATAATGTGTCTCACAAGAATCTGTTAGATCGTTTATTCTTCAGTTGTACTTTGAATGGTGGGGTGGAAGTTTCAGGTGAACAATGGATAACAAAAAGCAAGTTATGGAAGATTGTGAAGAGGATGGAAAAACTGAATACAAGATACCAAAAATGAAAAAAAGTGTCCCATTTTTAATAACTATATTCTATTATTTTATAAATGTGTAATAAAGGGGTCCCTCTTTATTGGTTGTTCTCCACTTAATCTTTGGTCTTTTTCAGTAATTTTAAGTTTTCTGGGATTTTTTTTGGTTTATAAAACTTGTGTTTAGACTTTATCTTGCTATGGAGTTTTCACACTTCTATAGCACATATCCTAGTATCTAGTCATTTCTGTTTTAATATGAATTTCAGTAATTTAATTTTAATCTGGTGACATATTAATCGAAAATAAGGAGTAATGTATACCTCCACATGTCCTTTCTTTTTGTCTTCTCTTAAATTCACAATATCCAGTAGGAGTGGTTATTCAATTTCTTCGTGGTTTTAATCATCAAATGAAGTTAGAGAAGTATACTAATCCCAGCAACTATGACTCATCTAGGCATGTTAAGACCATAAAGTAATTCAGGAAACTATTTTCCTGATTTTTAAATAACTTTTAGTGTTATGTAACATCTATCCTTCTGTTTTAGACATGCATTTCACATATAGTTGAATTCTAGATTCTAAGATAATTCATTTTGGGTAATACTTCAGAGTACTGGATCTAGAATCAGGCTTCCTGAATTTAAACTCAGGCTCCCCATTAACTGTGTGTCTGTGAGCCCAGTTTCTCATCTGTAAAATGGGGCAACAGTGGCACTCATCTTAAAGGGTTGGATAATAAAATAATGCATGTAAGGCCCTCAGCATAGTGCCTGGCACAGAATTACTGCTCAAATGTTAGCTGTCGTATTAATATTGTCACTTTTGCACACTGATGTACATTTCCTGTTGACCAGGCTCATTCTTTAAGCATTCTCCATGCTTAAACCAGTTCCATAATCCCTAGGCCTGTACTCCAGGGATTGAGACTGAAAGGATCATTTATGCCATGTTTCTCTAAAAGCATCATTGCTGGAAGACTTTTGATAAGTCTGATGTGTCTCAAGCTATTCTCAGGCCTTTTTTGTAGAGTTTAGAAATGAAGTATTTGAATCAATTTAGTATCTCCTTTACTATGTTTCTCCTTTTAATCTCAGCCAACCCCCTACCTGCAGGTAAACCCAGCATTCATTAAGAGCTGGGTTGGGGTACTCTATTCTGTATGCATCATAATAGCTTAACATTATTTAGTAGCTGTAACTTACAGGTTTAATGCTAGATGAGGATGTCTCAAGCCGTGAGTGTGCTTGTGTAAAAATGGTGGCAACATCATCTCGTTGGTAGGAATTTTTTACTTGAATTGTTATTTTGGGAAAATGTTAACAGATTTCTTCTGGATAAAGAAAATAAATTGGATGATGTATATTTTATGTTTCTTTTTAGCTTCTCTTAAAATCAGAATATTGAACAGAATTCTGATATGCTGAATATATATAGTGCATGGCTGAAACTCCAGCACCAACTGGGTGCTTCAAATGAAGTCATAGAATAATTCCATCTAGAGCTGACAGAAATCTTTCAGAGCCTTCATTATTAAATTTGTTATAGATTTAGTTATCAAAGATAGAGTTCTCTAATCTTTTTTTTAAAGCTAAAGTTCTCTTTATTTACATGTATAGGAAAACATTCTGCCTAAATCATGATGTTAATGAAAATCATATTGAGGAGAACTTGAACCTTATTAAATATGAGCTTCTAACATAATTGACTAAAATGTGATTGTCATATATGACACAGATGCTGTGTGCAGATGATATCAAACCTAAAACCACTTAGCAATGTGAGAAGAAACAGAAAACATCCCAGTTACCCTGGTGTAAAATTTATACTATTTATTAATGGCCGATAAGGGTCTCATTACTAAAACACTGAAGTGGGATTATATTTTTGTAATCGTCTAATATTTACAGTCATAAACCTGCATGAGAATACTTTCAAATACTAGCTTTTGTGCTTTTAAAATAGGTAACAGTGAATGTTAGTATTGGGTGTGGGATGCATCAGGGACACAGGTTTGTAAACCATGACAATTCAGTTGTAAAACTAAAGCCAAGTGCACCTGTAGTCCCAGCTGCTGGGGAGGATCACTTGAGCCTAGGAGGTGAAAATTGCAGTGAACTGATATTGTGCCATTGCACTCCAGACTGGGTGACATAGTGAGACCCTGTCTCTACAAAAAAAAAAAAAAAAAACCCTAAAGCCAAAACATTGAAATAAGTTACTGACATGCAAATTTGGAACTGAAACTAGAACACAGTGGTGTATATCTCACTGTTCTGAAAATACACAGTTTCCAGAAATTCAAAGAATGGCCAAGATAACTCAAATAGGGGATTGGCTATATCCAGTAAAACAAAATCACTTGCAGTCATGTCTAAGGGAGATGAGGGTCATCTGTTAGGCCATAGTCATAGACTTACAAAGAATACCAGTTAGGATTCTGTTTGTAGCAACCAACTCTAGCTAACCTAAGCAATAAAGAATTTATTTGAAGGATATAAGATCAAACGGAAGCTAAAGAACCAGACTCAGGATAGAAACTTAGCTCCCGAAGATTTTTTTAAGCAGAAATTGCTCAATAATCTTGCTTTTATTCATCATGGATTAAATTAACTCCAGCTGCTTAAAATGCCCATTCAAGATTTAAATGCCTGGACGTGAGTGTGCAAACCTAGGTCAGAAATCACCCCTGGCAGTCTTGGAGCTTTGAGAGGACTCTACAGGAACTACTTCGGCTTAAATGGTTTGAGGCAAAGCAGCTGGGTTTACTGATTCATCAAGACTAAATGTGAAAGGAGAGGTAATTTATTCAAAGGAAATTGTGGGAAAGACTGTTAGACAAACAAAATCTGACAAATGACCAGGTGGTTACTTGAAGCCCTGACATTGAAATATGTTGGGTGTTGGGTATATACTAAATGAAGGGCAATATTATAACAAGTGGACATGCTGGAAGTATGAGCAACTTACGTATGTAGTTTGTGTGGACGGGCCTTTAGGGACTGCTGCTTCAGATCCCATAAGCTCCACTTCCACTTGATGAATGCTGCTTGGCTTGCCCCACTCTGCCTAGATGGATGGTGAGCAACTTTGCATGGTAAGCAAAGGCTGTCTTGTGCAAATGAAATCTCTTAGGCAACAGCTATCAGAAGAATAGGTGACTGCCTGTGGTAGTCTCTGTTTTAGGGAGGTGTCAGAGCTTTATCTTTCTTTAGGCAGATAAAGGGCCTTCAGAGAGAAACCTCTGCTTGCATCCTCTGTTTAGTAAGGTGGATAGATGTAAATTTCCTTTAGAAATGGACAGCTTTTCAGAGCTATTCCTGCCTGCAGTTCTCAGAATAATCAACTTGAAATATGCCAAAGAAGTATATTCTGAGGTGGCATATTGTGGCTTCCCCTCATTCCATCAAACCTTTAGACATAAGAACAATTGACTGACCTGGTGCCTACCCAGTTTGCTGGTTTCCTGCCTATAAGGAAAGTTATGTTGCAGATCAGTGGTAGACCTGAAAGTCACATAATAGAAAAAAAGGAGGATAAGGAGAAAATGAATTGCTGTTCCCAAGTAATCGAGATTTGTTTCTTCTTGCAGGGAAGATGATTGGGAAAATATTGTGACCTGATAAAAGTGTTGATACATTTAATAAGGGTTTGCCACCATCTGACTAAATGATAACATATGCCTTTCAGAGTCTTTTCTGAAAAATATCCTGAAACAGTTTGGCATACTCCTTCAGCAACACTGACATCTTCATGTGTTTACGTAGACATATCCCGCCACTTTGCCGTACTAATTGGCACTAGGAGCCACCAAGTAACATGGGGAGAAAAAAGGGGACTACAAATGGCAGCTTTGAATTGGCTATTTACATCAGTTGTATTTGGGGTGAGGATCAGCAGCAAAAAAAATGCATGAAGCCTTTAGGATAGAAGGGAAGGAGGGACTCACGGAAAAAAGCTGCAGGCCTGAAGGCTGCTGAAAGTTTTGGTGGGAACAGGTAACCCTTTCTGCATTAGAGGTACAGGGGTTGCTGAGAGAAAAACCCAACTGCTTCCAGCCCTACTGGTGAAACTCCTTAGGGGCACTTAGAGAATAAGATCTGTGCCTTTGAAGTAAAGGGAACAAAGTAGCTTCATCTCAAAAAAAAAAAAAAAAACAAAAAACAAACACCTGTGATGAAGTTCTGGGCTAAGGAGGCCGCTGGACAACCCAGCAACTACCAAAAATGTCATTAAGTGCTTGGCTGAGACCATGTATCTTACACATCTAGAGCACAATTTAGAATATGACAAGAATAGGCTGGGCATGGTGGCTCACATCTGTAATCCCAGCACTTTGGGAGGCTGAGGCGGGCAGATTGCTTGAGCTCAGGAGTTCAAGACCAGACTAGACCACATGGCGAAACCCCGTCTCTGCCGAAAGAAAAAAACAACAAAAATTAGCCAGGTGTGGTGGCGCACACCTGTAATCCCAGCTACTCTTAAAAAAAAATTCTTCTAAAAAAAAAATGGATACATGTGCAGGACATGCAGGTTTGTTTCATAGGTATATGTGTGCCATTGTGGTTTGCTGTACCTATTGATCTGTCCTCTATGTTCCCTCCCCTCACCACCCCGCAACAGGCCCCGGTGTGTGATGTTCTTCTCTGTGTGTCCATGTGTTCTTATTGTTCACCTCCCACTTACTAGTGAGAATATGCAGTGTTTGGTTTTCTGTTCCTATGTTAGTTTTTTGAAGGTGATGGCTTCCAGCTTCATCCACGTCCCTGGAAAGGACATGATCTCATTCCTTTTTGTGGCTGCATAGTATTCCATGGTGCATATGTACTACATTTTCTTTATCCAGTCTATCATTGATGGGCATTTGGGTTGGTTCCATGTCTTTGCTATTGTAAACAGTGCTGCAATAAACGTGTACATGTGTCATTATAGCAGAATGATTTATATTTCTTTGGGTATGTACCCAGTAATGAATCCCAGCTACTCTTGCTTGAACCCAGGAGGCAGAGGTTGCAGTGAGCCAAGATTGCACCACTGCAGGCAAAAAAAAAAAAAAAAGAAAAACAAGAAAAAAGGCAGGGTGCAGTGAGCTTGTAATCCTAGCACTTTGGGAGGCCGAGGCAGGTGGATCACAAGGTCAGGAGTTCAAGAACAGCCTGGCCAACATGGTGAAACCCCATCTCTACTAAAAATACAAAAATTAGCCTTGCGTGCTGGTGCATGCCTGTAATCCCAGCCACTCAGGAGGCTGAGGCAGGCGAATCACTTGAATCCAGGAGGTGGAGGTTGCAGTGAGCCGAGATCGTGCCACAGCACTCCAGCCTGGGTGACAGAGCAAGACTTCGTCTTTAAAAAAATAAAAAATAAAAAAGACATGAATAAGGGTAAATAATCTCAGTTATGATGTTCAAGAGAGTTGCTGCTGTCTCACTCCAATTATACAAAGTCACAAAGCCCTTAAGTTGTGTGGTCAACCCACACCCAATGGTACAGGCAGAAAAAACTCAGCCTTCACTCTGATAAATTTATTAAAATAAGAACAAGCATCAGTTGTACATAGAAATAATCATTTGCACTAAGCATGGTACTAGAGCAGAAGAGCAGTTTTAAATGTATTTTTTAAGTCACAAAATATATCGGTTAAGGCACTATAATCCTGTCTCATGTTTTCAATAAATATGCTGGTTTTTTTTTTTAAAGGCAGTAGTGAGTAACCGATTACATGAGTATAGGCACTATACTATTAAAGACAAACTGCTGTGGCCATTGTGTGTAACTTATTCTCAAAAGAACTTTTGTTAGTTAAGATTAGTGTTTTTTAAGAATGAGAATATGAAAATTGTCACAGTTTTCTCTTTCTAATTTAGGTCTCTTCCAGAGAGACCTATATATTAAAAGGTGCTGTTTCTTCACTTTATTCCTTGGCAACAATGAATTATGCATAAAGTAAAAACATTGCCTCTCAGGAAGTAAAGCCATCAGAAGATGTCTCAGAACAGCTTGAAATCTTTGGAATAGCTTTTTTTTTTTTTCAACTGCAATAAAATCAGTGCAGTTCAGAAAACTCGACCTTTCAGTATCCGAGAAGGCAGCTTTGTAAGCACTTTCTGTTCGAGGAACTTTGTTAAGCAGCTGAGGGGAATCTGACCCAGCTCCTGTGTTGTCTGGTGTAGACAGGGCACCAGACTGGGAGTCAAGTGGCCTGGGTGCTTCTTCACTGCCACCAGCACTTCCTAATAATGGCAAATTTACATTTTGTTACGGTGCTCACAGCTTACAAAACACATACATGTGCATCATCACAGTTTGTTCACCTGTAAGATGAAAGGGTTGGATTCTTTGTTTTCTGTGGTCTTTTCCAGTTCTAGTGCCTTGCTAGTCTGATAGTGTGAATTATTTTTTATTACAGCTGGCGCTGCTGCTGCATCAGGGCCATCCTTTCTGCAAGACACAATGACCACAGCAAAGAGCGGGAAAGATAACTTTCCACGACATCGCCACATTGTTTGACGTCCTTTCATCAAATCACTGTATGCTATTAAAAGTCACCGTGTAACTGGAGTTACATTATTCACAGAGGCCATTAAGACTTCTCTTATTAGACAATATAACTTTTGTGACAGAAATAGGCTGCACAGATCTCTAAGATAAAATTCACGTTATTGCACATTTTGTTTCTCCAGTCAGGTCTTCAACACGTAAGATATGATTACAACATTAAGGCTTTGTACAGCATGAGGTAAAATATCAGGAAGAATCTTGATGTGAGCCACACCTCTTTTAGAGTGAGAAAAAAAAATTTTTTTTTTTGTCAATTGTACAGAAGAGGACACAATCTGATATATTTTACAACTGATAAATGACATTGGAAGAGTACAGGTTGTCAAGACATGCTGGAAAATATATTCACTTTTCAGCAAGTAACTAGACACATGGTCAAACAAAGCCTTAAGAAATCTGGGACCTGCCTGCTCAGGTGCAGTAGAAAATACATAGAGCTAATTTTATTATGAAATGTATAAGAATATTGCTTTTACCTGCTAAGATTTGGTCTTCAGTTTGACTTTGTATGTATATGTGTGTGTGTATATATATATATTTTTTTTTAATTATAGACACAACTTTTACTTCATTATAAAAGATTAAAATGCATCATTGAGAAGCAATTTAATACAAAGCATCTAATCATAAAAATAGAAAAGGTAATCAAAGAGCACTTCAGAAAGAAACTCTGGAGCCAAAGGCTTAGTTCTTCTCCAGGGACCTGTAATAATCTGTCAGGACCTTCCATGCTTTGGGGGCCATGAAGCCATCTGGGGGATTCTCTCCTTCCCGGGCGAGCTTCCTCATTCGAGTTCCTGAGATGAAGTCAAACTCATTGTGCCTGTTACAGGGTGGCAACAAAGAACTCAGTGTAGGTAAATGATATCTGCCTTAAGGATTCCTGGAGTAGGTTATGGTTTTTGAGACCCATGTTCTTTCTGTAAAATGCTGCATCTTCAAAAGTGGGCAGTCCTCTAAATCTTCAGGAACTTGCAGAAGAGAAGGGAAATAATGGCAGCTATCCATTTAGTATTTGCCATGCGCCTATACTGTTCCTGGGAAGTGTCTTGAGCCCAGAGTCTGTCTTCTGTTTCTCTGCCTACTTCTGTGAACCCTCAGCATGAGGAGCAAGTGCACCATAAATATTCATTGCAATCTCTTTCTATGTTGCTTCCTTTCACTTAGTGTGCCAGGCACTCTGTGCATGCTCAAGAATGCATGTTGAAAGAGAAATATTTATGGACCATCTACTATATGCAGAAGACTGTAGTACAATTTTAGGGGACATAAAATTTATAAGACCACGTCTTGACTCTCAAGGGACTCAGTCCACTTGGGAGCATGTGGCAATGCACTGGAGAGTTTTTCAAAGGGCCCAAATTCTGCCTCATCATTTCTTTTATACAGATGTTGATAAAAGAATTTTCCTCTGAAAACCTACCTTGCTGGATCATAGAAGTCCATGGCTTTTTTGGCTTTGTTGTAGGCAGCCACTCGGAATGGAATGATTTCCACAGAGGTGAGGCCAGGGGCCATGCTCAAGACCTTGCCCCCATGAGTGGGTTCATACAGATCCTTCTTGGTTTCAGGATGGGGCATTCCTGCAGGGTCCCTCCCCACAATGTAGAAATTGGCACCCGCAATCATCCGGGACCTGCAGTGCCACTGGACCTAGAAAATGTCCATAAGGGACATGCTGGTCATTGTGGGTCAAATCTGTAGGTCATGGTTTATGGAGACACCTTTATTCTACTTTAAAAGTAATTCAGCAATGTGAGTCAACTAAGAATTGCAAGAAAATCACTGAGGTTCTAAGACTCCGTGCACTCTTCATGCTTTGTTATATTAGGTAGGATAGGAGCTCTAAAGATAAGATTCCTCCCTCATAACTCAAGGTTGTATTTCCTCATCTCTTCTCCAAACAGGCTAGCCGGACAAGAACACTCAAATCTTACTATTCTACAGAACTATGTGGATTTTACTTTCCAGTGCCTCCCTATTCACAATAAATTGCAGTTTAAAGGAAATTACCAACTCTAGTATCTCATTATCTGACTGCCATTAATGAGCTAATTACCTTTCACACACAAATGCTGATTTCAGTTCAACATAACACTTACCCTCTTTAAAGCTCAGATAGCAATACAAAGGATGGAAAGGAGAGCTAGGGGCCTGGAACTTTTATCTGATTGAAGAGAATTAATTCATTAAACTCAGTTTGGGGCATTCCAAAGGGTTGAGACCCTTTCTATTCATCATACTTGCAGCCAGCTCGTTCAAATCCACTACACTGGTGGTGCAGTGGGACAAAGAAAATCTCTGTTTGATAAGCTCACTGTGTTATGATAAAAGGGTGACATTTATCTTTTAAAGATATCCTTTCCTAATGAAGCTCACAGGGCATGGAGAGTAACTGGAACTTCTGAAATTGAATATTAGGTTACATACAACTTGCCCTATCACCCAGTTAAGTTTCATTAGCCACCTCATTCACTTGCCAACTTCCATATTCTCAAAGGCAATGTATAATAGGTTTGATTTGATGTTTCTAGCATCTTTCTTTTTTTTTTTGAGACGAAGTCTCGCTCTGTTGCCCAGGCTGGAGTGCAGTGGCATGATCTCGGCTCACTGCAACCTCCACCTCCCAGGTTCAAGCGATTCTCCTGCCTCAGCTTCCCGAGTAGCTGGGATTACAGGGGCATGCCACTATGCCCAGCTAATTTTTGTATTTTTAGTAGAGACAGGGTTTCATCATGTTGGTCAGGTGGCCTCGAACTCCTGACCTTGTGATCTGCCCACCTCGGCCTCCCAAAGTGCTGGGATTACAGGTGACAGCCACTGCGCCTGGCCTTCTAGCACTTTTCAAATACTAAGTGGAAACATAATTAAGCTAGATAAAGAAGAGACACCAGAACATTCCAGAATCTGCTCATGAGGAAACAGAAAGGATCCCAGAGACTCATTTACTCTTCTATGTAAAGTCTGAGTCTGAATTCCTGAGTCTCAAAGCCCAGCTCTGGGAATTGCTCACCTCTGTGGGGCCAGCATATAACATGGGAGACGGAAAGATGGCAACAATGGTTGACTTGGGATCCAGGACCCCTTCCTCGAGCACAGCCGCGTGCTGCTTCATCCGCCAGTCTAGAGGCACATCGTCATCCTTGGTCCAGCCGCCCAGAGGGTGTAGTAGGAGGACCGGGTGCTTGTAGCCCCTCTCTAGGAGCCTGCGGCGAGTGTCCTGCATCAACAGGGCATGGCCATTGTGGACAGGATTGCGCAACTGGAATGCAAACACCGCATCTGGGAGAGGAAAGCAGAAGAAGGAAGGTCACAGAAACACATGGTGTCATTTCTCCACAAGAACAGAAAGGACACAGCTATGTTTATTGTTCTGTGCATTCATTATCCACTGGCTTTTTTTTTTTTTTTTGAAAGAGTCTCACTCTGTTGCCCAGGCTGGAGTGCAGTCAGCGATCTCAGGTCACTGCAACCTCCGCCTCCAGGATTCAAGCGATTCTCCTGCCTCAGCCTCCTGAGTAGCTGGGATTACAGGCGTGTGCCACCACACCCGGCTAATTTTTGTATTTTTAGTAGACTCAGGGTTTCACCATGTTGGCCAGGCTGGTCTCGAACCCCTGACCTCAAGTGATCCGCCTGCCTCAGCCTCCCAAAGTGTTGGGATTACAGGCGTAAGCCACTGCACCCAGCCTATCCACTGGCTTCTGATAATCAGCTGGAGAATACACCTGGGTCTTTAGAGGTGTTAATCCAGCACTAACCAACACCAGATAGCTGAGACAGGGATGAGATGCAGAGGCAGGAAGCTGCTTAGGGACAGCCTAACTCAGGAATGAAAAGATTTGTTGCCAGGACCTTTCCTGTACACCAAGGCTCAGGCAGGGCCAGTGTTAATTAGTCCTCTTGTACCAGGAAGCCTAGAGGGAGGTGAATAATTGTAACAAATGTTTTCTGGGGCCTGTGCAAGGGGCAACAATCTAAAGATATAAAAAAATTTTGCTTTCGCTTTAAAGAAATCTCCAAAACTACTCCACTTAGTGGTGGACTCCTGAGAGCCTTAATTTTTTTTTCTGATAATGAAATAATTTTTATGTCTATAGTATTGAAAATGAATACTTTCAATATTATAATGAAAAACTTGAGAAATACAGAAAAGCCCAAAATAGAATATAAAAATCACCAATCCTATTATTACTTTTTCTCCCTCTTTTTCAAAATGTATACAATAAAGAGTAAAAATCTCTTAGTCCAAACTCCATCCCCAAGAGGTAGCCACTGTAATCTGCAGTTTGGGGCATGTGCTGCCAGAGACTTTTCTGCCACTATGCACAGAAGTAGGTTAGGGATTTTAGAATTATGATGATATTTTATTTTGTTTTCCAGAACATGATTATGCTCTACATATTGTTCTGCAATTTGCTTTTTCACTTCATAAATACACTTCAGCTATCTCTATCAGTGAATATTTTAAACTGTTGAATAGCGTTCTAATATATGGTTCTAATATATAGTACAACTTTATAAAACTGTTTCCATATTATAGACATACCAATAGAAGATGTTTTCAGGTTATTTTTAACTATAAAAATGCTGAAGCCAGGCATGATGGTGGCTCATGCCTGTAATCCCAGCACTTTGGGAGGCTGAGGCGGGGAGATTGCTTGAGCCCAGGAGTTCAAGACCAGCCTGGAAAACATAGTGAGACCCATTTCTACAAAAAAATATAAAAATTAGCAGAGTATGGTGGCATGTGCCTTGTAGTCCCAGCTACTTGTGAGGTTAAGGTTGGAGAATTACTTGAGCCCAGGAGGTTGAGGCTGCAGTGAGCTATGGTCATGCCACTGCACTCCAGCCTGGGTGACAGGGTGAGACCTGTCTCTTAAAAAAGAAAATGCTGACTCCTGGTATCCTTAATTCTTTAATCAGAGGGTGGTAAGGGAATATTAATAAATGTACTAGGGGCCGGGTGCAGTGGCTCACATCTGTAATCCCAGCACTTTGGGAGGCCAAGGTAGGGGGATCACCTGAGGTCAGGAGTTTGAGACCAGCCTGACCAACATGTTGAAACCCTGTCTCTACTAAAAATACAAAAATTAGCTGGGCGTAGTGGTGGGCACCTGTAATCCAAGCTACTCAGGAGGCTGAGGCAGGAGAATTACTTGAACCTGGGAGGCAGAGGTTGCAGTGAGCTGAGATCGTGCCATTGCACTCCAGCCTGGGTGACAGAACAAGACACCATCTCAATAAATAAATAAATAAAATGCACTAAGAACAGTTTACATACCAGCATTCATTTCTTTACATTTCTGTTTGAGCTCCAGAGGTGTCAGACGGTATTGGTCCAGCCCATCATTCCATCTTATTTTCTCCAGCACCTGAAGGTCTCCACCAACCAGCCAGTCCCCACTTTCCATCACCATCTAGAAAGAACATTGTTATGATTGCTAATGATTAATTGTGATTTCTATTTTATCTGAAAAGTTTTCTCCTTTTAGACCAATCTCGGGTTACAGTTAAAGAACTGCCTTCAGTTCTTTAGTATTTCTGGCACAGTATTTCTCAAACTTTTTGGTCTCTAGAACCCGTTATGCTCTTAAAAAATTATTGAGTACCCCCCACCATGAGCTTTCATTTTTGTGGGTTATAGCTATCATTACTTTTCATATTAGAAATTTAAACTGAGAACCTTTAAAAATGTTTATCAATCCATCTAAAGCTAACATTAATAAACCTATTGCCTGTTAACATATATAACATTTTTAGTGAAAAATAAGCATTTTCCTCCCCAAATGTAGGGAAGTATGGTATTGTTTTACATATTTGCAATCTTTTTAATATCTGACTTAATAGAAGACAGCTGGATTCTCATATCTATGTCTACATTTAATCTGTAGTAATACATTGTTTTGGCTGAAGTATAAAAAGGAAGTCCAACTATAGGTAGGTAGCTGGAAAAGAGAAGAGGATTTGGATAGCCTTTTTGCACAATTATGGATATTCTTATCTGATACTACACCAAAACTCAACAAGTGTCAGTTTCTTAAAGGTTTAAGTTGGACTGTGGAATGGGCAGCCATATTAATGCACTTCTCATACTCTGTTACATTAAAAATCCATTGTGCTTTGGATGAATCATTTACCCATGAATGATTTTGCAATATTACATATTGGCCAATTAGAAACTATTAGTTCACTGTGCTTTGGATGAATCATTTACCCATGAATGATTTTGCAATATTGTATATTGGCCAATTAGAAACTACTAGTTCACTGAGTTTGTAAGTCTTCCAAGTGTTGACATATTTCATTACAGGATTTTTAAACACACACATGTGTTAATATCACTACTAGTCTCATCACACATGTGTTAATATCACTACTAGTCTCATCAAAAAGTTTTCTAAGTACTGGGAATCTGCCAAGCTTATGGTGGTGAATAAAAATTTTCCAAAAATATTTTGCTTGAAACCTTAAGATTTATCATTGGCAATGAATACTCTCAGCTGTTTTCCTTGAATTATCAGGTTCCCTTTGTCCATTTTGAAAAATATCTGCCGAATAGTCATATCTGAATAACCATAGTTTATCACTCATGCTTTCAAGTAGACATGGTGATCCATGAAAAAAAATAGTGGCTAGTATTGCTTGTAGCACAAACCACTGTGCAAGTACTTTTCCTTAAGACAACCATTGTACATTGGTATATGTAGCAGAAGTACTTTAATGTGTACTTCCTCTTTTGTAATGGAATACTAAAAAGACGGGGACTCAAGGGCCAAGATTTAATAATCGCTTTTACAGCTTCATCAAGAACACTCTTAGGTGAAGCTAGCATTGCTTTTACTGCAAGTGCATGATGATGAATAGTGCAGTGACTATGGACATAGTTGTCATTGTCTCGAGTCTAAAGTTACAGCAGTTTTAACCACTACTGCTTTTGTACCAGCAATTCAAATGTCAACACAGAGAAAAAGGCAAAGAATGTCTTAGTATTATGAACACAGTTTTGAACTTGGGGATTCTCTAGAAAGGTCTTGGGGACCCTCAGTTTTGTAAGCCATACTTGAGAACTGCTGCTAGTACATTCCTAATACAGTCTG
Source organism: Homo sapiens (assembly GCF_000001405.40). Taxonomy (NCBI): domain Eukaryota; kingdom Metazoa; phylum Chordata; class Mammalia; order Primates; family Hominidae; genus Homo; species Homo sapiens. The sequence goes on along the minus strand of NC_000010.11, from coordinate 87,739,554 downwards.
ATGTATCTTAGACTATTTCCAATGAAGACCTAAATTAGAGACCCTGGGGGAAAAATCGGACAACTTGTTTTCTTCCAGTTAATTATTGTTGGGCACAATTTCTATGGAAATTCTCAAAAGAAGCAGCCTTCTTCAATTATATCTGATTTTAAAACAAAAGGAAATCTCCAAAGCGCAGCAAAATGTAGCCAAATTCACATCTAAGGCTAAACATAGACTATTAGCTAAAACCCTATTTTTAAAAATAATCTTTGACAAGGGTACCAGGACCACTCAATGGGGGAAAGGACAGTCTCTTCAACAAATAATGTTGGGAAAACTGGATATCCACATGCAAAGGAATGAAGTTGGACCCTTATCTTACACCACATACAAAATTTAACTCAAAATGGATGAAACACCTAAAAGTAAGACATAAAACTATTAAACTCTTACAAAAAATATAAGGGAAAAAGCTTTATGATATTGGAGTTGGAAATGATTTATTAGACATGACATCTAAAACATGGGCAACAAAAGCAAAAAAAATTGCAACTACTTCAAACATATGTGCATCAAAGAACACAACAGTGAAAAAGCAACCTATAGAAAGAGAAAATATTTGAAAATCATATTTTCTGATAAGGGGTTAATATCCAGAATATATAAAAACTCCTACAACTCAATGACAAAAAAATTAACCCAATTAAGAAATAGGCAAAGGACTTGAATAGACATAACTTGAGATGATCTACAAATGGCCAAAAGCATGTAAGATGCTCAGCATCATTAATTATGAGAAATGCAAATCAAAACTACAATGAGATATCATCTCCCATCCATTAGGATGGCCACTATTAAAAAACAGAAAATGGCTGGGCACAGTGGCTCACGCCTGTAATCCCAGCATGAGCCAAGTTGGGTGGATTGCTTAAGCCCAGAGTTTGAGACCAGCCTGGGCAACATGGTAAAACCCCATCTCTTCATAAAATATAAAAATTAATCTGGCATGGTGGTGCATGCCTGTAGTCCCAGCTACTCAGCAGGCTGAGGTGGGAGGATCACCTGAGCCTGGGAAGGTTGAGGCTGCAGTGAGCCATGATTGCGTCACTGCACTTCAGCCTGGGTGACAGAGACACACACACACACACACACACATACACACACACAGAAAAGAAAAAAAACAAGTGTTGGTGTTGGTGAGGATGTAGAAAAATAAAAATTGGAACCCTTGTACACTGTTAGTGGGATTGTAAAAGGTGCAACCACTATGGAAAACAGTATGGAGGTTCCTCAGTGAATTAAAAATGGAACTACCATATGATCCAGCAATCCTACTTATGGGTGTATATTCAAAGGAAATGAAAGAGTCTTGAAGAAATATTTGTATCCTCATGTTCACAGCAGCACTATTCAAATAGCCAAGAGGTGGAAGCAACCCAAATGTGCATAGATGGATGAATGGGTAAATAAAATGTGGTATACACATACAAGGGAAGATCATTCATCCTTTAAAAGGAAGGAAATCCTGTCACATGCTATAACATGGCTGAACCTTGAGGACATTAGGCTAAGTGAAATAAGCCAGTCACAAAAAAGCAAATATTACATGATTCCACTTATATGAGGTATCTAAATTTCTATGAATTCTAGTCGAATTCATAGAAACAGAGAGTGCAATGGTAGTTACCACGGGCTGGAGGAAGGATGGTAGTTACCAGGAGCTGGAGGAAAGAAGAAGAGGGGAGTTGTTTTTGTTTTTGTTTGAGGCAGGTCTCACTCTGTCACCAGGCTGGCATGCAGTAGCTCACTGCAGCCTCTACCTCCGGGGCTTATGCAGTTCTCCCACCTCAACCTCCCAAGTAGCTGGGACTACAAGCATGCCACCACACCTGGCTAATTTTAAAATTTTTTTTTTGTAGAGACAGGTTCTCACTATGATAACCAGATAGGTCTCAACTCCTGGGCTCAAGCAATCCTCCAACTTCGGCCTTCCAAAGTGTTGGGATTACAAGCGTGAGCCACCATGCCTGACCGCGGGAGTTGTTTAATGGGTGTAGAGTTTCCATTTTGCAAGATGACAAAGTTCTGGAGATTTGGTTCACAACAATGTGAATATGCTTAACATTACTGAGTTGCACACTTACAAGAAGGTTAAGATGATAATTTTTATGTTCTGTTTTTTACCTTAATTTTTTTTTTTAGAGGAACCACCGTTTTTTAACTCACTGAGGATTTATTTCACTGAGGTTAGAAGCAATCACTTTTCTATTCCCAGTCTCAGCTGAAAATGTGACTTCAGGAAAGGGTGGGTGTGAAGAGCACCTGGAGACCTGCAGAAGAACCATCTTCATAGTGTCCCACACATTAGATGGCCCAACTCTGGCCCCCTTTGGTTGTGTCTATCTCATAAAGGCAAGGAGACCCTTGGTGGGAAGACCCACCCAGAGTCATCACCTACTCTTTTGATCATAATCAGGGTACCCAGAACTCTAGAATTTCCTGCCCAATCAACTCTGAGCTTGCTGCTAGGCCTGGGAGAGCTTCATCTCCCAACCTGTCTTTCCAGGGTGGACCACACACTCAGAGCAGCCCTACTTCTGAGGGCGGGCCAAGCAGGGAGGGTCTGCAGAGGTTGTGGAGAGAGCTCAGCCATGCAGCCTGGGGTGCCCACAAATCAATCCAGAGGACCCACATAGCATAGGAAGAGGCCAAGCATAGAAGGAGAAGGGAGAGTTGGTGAAAGGCCAAGGGCCAACTCTCCACACACTACCATATTCTGATGCAGAACCCAGAAGTCTATATTTGAACCTGGCTTTCCAGTTTGTGATTAAGGCATAGTTGTCAAAGTAGAAGGATCAAACACATTTTATTTAGCAGTTTGTTAGTTACACATGTAACTTTTAAATATGATGTATGGCTCTCCATTTGTATTCTTGCTCTGGGCCCCACAAATGTTAGGGGTAAGCCAGGGTTGAAGAATGGTGAAACTAATGAAAAAGAAAAACATGGTCGGGCATGGTGGCTCACTCCTGTAATCCCAGTACTTTGAGAGGCTGAGGTGGGTGGATCATGAAGTCAGGAGTTCAAGACCAGCCTGGCCAATATGGTGAAACCCTGTCTCTACTAAAAATATAAAAAATAGCCAGGCCTGGTGGCGGGCACCTGTAATCCCAGCTACTCAGGAGGTTGAGGCAGGAGAATCACTTGAACCTGGGAGGCGGAGGTTGCAGTGAGCCGGGGTCTCGCCACTGCACTCCAGCCTGGGCAACAGAGTAAGACTCTGTCTCAAAAAAAAAAAAAAAAAAAAAAGAAAGAAAGAAAAGAAAAACATGGCAACCTTTGTTTTTTTTCTATAAGTTTAAATATTTTCCATCTGGTATTGAAGTATAATCAATTACAGAGCTGTGTCTCTCCTAGTCACTGACACAAATACTTACAGCCAATCTCATTCCTCAGTCAAACATGTAATGGTTTTACAATCCTCCCCCTAATCAAACCCCAAGTACCTTTCACCACTTTCCAAATACAACTTGGTTACCTGAAATGTTAGCAGAGAAGAGGGAGGCAAGAGTGAGTGAGAGAAAGCTGATTTGAAACACCTAGTAGGAAGACACGAAGATAGTGATGGTGGACCTGGTTCACAGTCCCCATTATGGCCAGATATTGGGGTTTACCATGACCTGCATTCCAGAGAGGTTCAGGGAGTGGGGGATTGGGATAGAGCAGTGGCTCTAAACAGAGGCTGATTTAGTCACTCCTGGTGACATTTGACAATATCTGAAGATAATTTTGATTGTGATGACTGAAGTGCTATTGGCATCTGGTGAACAGAGGCTAGGGATGCTACTAAATATCCTACATTGCACAGAACTGCCCTCTCAGTGAAGAATTATCTAGTCCAATATGTCAACAGTGCTGAGGCTGAGAAACCCTGCGGTAGACAGAAGGCAATTATGCAAGGTTTTCGGTTGTGTTTTCATGGCCTCTTTTCTAAACTCTGTGCTCAGTCAGATAATTCAACAAGAACATTTTCAAATATCCATACCTATACATCTACTTTCTCCTCATTGCTTAGAGTTGGACACAGCACAATTTTGAGAACTGACCTCCAAACCCCTGAGGATGCAGTAATTTATTCTGGACACTAGGGGTCCACCGTATATTGCTCTATCTATTGGTGAAGGGGGCATCAAACCGAATTCATCCACCATCCAGCCTAAAAACCTGTCTGTTTGAAGAGAGATGTTAAAACTATGTGTTTGGCATTTCTGGGATGGGGAGGGACAAGGGGCATCTCTATCCCTAAGGTGGTCCAATTATCGCCAGAACTGTGTCCAGCTGTCAGGAAGGGAGATCCAGAGGCTCTGCTTAATTTCCCAGGGCTTTGTGGCCTAGAAGTCCCCACCCCCTTCCAAGCTTCCTGCCAAAGACAGCAGGGGGGCCACAGCTAGAGGATTTGCAGAACTAGATGCGCCAAAAGGAATGGGGAGCAGGCTTCAGGAGCCCAGTGAAGTAGCAAATAGGGAATTGGGCTCAAAATTACACACAAGAATGCATAAAGGAGAGGATAAGCTCAACCACTAGCGTAAAGACTAAGAAAGCTATGATAAATAGGCTCAAAGAGGCCAAGGAGAGGAAGACTCAAAAGAAACAATCTGGAGATGAGGGAATGCACTAATTGGAAAGGGAGGAGCAGCTGAGGGTGGGAAGGTGAAAAAGAATGCAAAAAGGGAGCAGAGAGAAGGGAAAGAAACCAGAAAGAAGGAAGGAAATGGTGGATTCAGCAAGATAAGGTCATGATGAAAGGGTGCAGAGAACAGAATCAAAGAGAAGAAAAACTAATGCCTACAAGAGGAGAATACATACATATATATATATATATATATATATATATATATATATATATATACACACACATTCATTTCTGTGCTATCAGTCATAGTCACAGAATCTGGGGCTTTAAGGAACCTGGAGGTAATGTAGATTTAATGTCCTCATTTTCAGAAGAGAAGGCAGTTTTACAGAGGGGAAGTGGCAGAGTTCAAGTGCACAGAGCTTTCTTACCAAAGCCAAGACCCAAATCTCAGACTCCTGCAAACCAGATTCTTCTCATCACTGCACCCACTGCCTCTCATCAGTGGCCCCCATATTGACATTTCAGCTTCACCTGTCACAGGTATGAAAGGGGCAAGTCCAAATTACTCTGGGAGGACAAAGAAGGGGCACTCAGTTATGCTCATGTGTCATAGGAGTCAGTGCTGACTTCTGAAAGGAGGTAATAAGGTCCGGAGGCAGAGGTGGAAGAAACAGTGTGCCAGGTTGAAGGATGAGTATGTGCAAAAGTCAGAGAGCGCATGATCGAATGACCAGCTCTGGAAGGACTGGACGAGGGAGTGTGTTGGCTGGTGGTGGCAAGAGGCTTTGCGGTAAATTGTATCTTAATAAAGGGGTTTCCAAAGAAAAGTTGAATAATTCACTCTAGCTAAAGAGTGGGAGATTATGGGGGAGTAAGACAAGAGAGAGGAAAGAATTGAAATGTCCTGACCCAAGATGGAATAGAAGAGGAGTGAATGAATTCAAGCAATAACTGAAAGCTACATTTGGCAGGACGTGGTGACTGAATGGACAAGGGGAGAAGAGAGAAGCAAGAATGGCATCCAGGTTTTGGTCACAGGCCACCATTTGGATGGTGAAGCTGTCACTAAGATAGGAGACATAGTAGGGGGAACAGGCTTGGGGGGAGGTTAAACATGTTGAGTTTGAGGTACTTGCAGGATATATGCAGGTGGGGCCCTAAAGAAAATAGCTCCAAACAATTATCTAACTCAATAGTTCTCAACCTTCACAGCCCATTAGAATCACGGGGAGCTTTAACTACCCACCCCTCAATAATCAGATCTGACTCAAAGCCAATTAAATGAGAATCTGTGAGGATGGGATCCAGTCATGGGTGATTTGTAAAGCTCCTCAGGTGATTCTGTTGATATAACTAACCATATGGTTTTCATTGTGGAGCTAAAGGCTATAAACTCTCATTCCCATCTTTCATTGAGAAGTCATATTCTGTTCTCTTGGTTTGTACAAGAAAATGTAGAGTGCAAAACAGGAGTAATGATTCTTACTTTCCTCACCAAGAGCATTGTGAAAAATAATTACTACTTGACAAATCTCTGGGAGCCATGGACGAAAGGCAACAAAGCCCCAGCAAGCATTAGTTTTACAAGTTTCACCTGCTCCTCCTGATGATTTCATTTGAGCGCATGTCACACGGTTCTATACTTAGTGATGCCAAAGAGAGGGCTGGATGCCTTGAATGGAAGGTCAAGAATGACGTTGGAGATAAGCTCTGTAACAAAGGCAGACCATTTCCTAGTGACTCTATTTTCCTTGCAAATATCACTCCCAGTGCCACATGGAAATAGAATAAGGCCCAGGATTCCCGCAGAAGTAATTACTTTTGGAAGCTGTGGGGTTCTAAAAACCTGTGTTAAAGTGTTTTTGTGGGTTTCAGAGTGCTAAAAAAGGACACAGCAAAAAGAATTATTTTGCCAATAAAACTTGTGTGTTTGGTACATGCGACAATCTTCAACAATCTTCATCAATCTCTCTCACTTTTGCACAAAATGTCTGCAGGGTGAGTGGCTTTCTCTCTCTGGTTATCCAAGGCTCATTTCTCACCATTAGCTCCCTGGGAATGTTTATCGAGTCCCCCTAATAACCTAAAGGTATAGAATCACTGAAAATATTGTCAAAGACACAAGTCATGCCACCATTCTCCTTGGCTTCTAAGAAATTCTAAAATTCTGAGTTCCATCTGCCAGCATGCATTGTAAGGCATGATGAAAAAAATACAGGCATACCTGAGAAACATTGCAGGTTCAGTTCCAGACTACTGCAATAAAGTGAATATTGTAATAAACGGAGTCACACAAATTTTTTGGTTTCCCAGTGCATTTTAAAAGTTATGTTTACACTATACTGTAGTCTATGAAGTGTGCAATGGCATTATGTCTTTAAAATGTAATATTATCTAAACTTTTTTTTTTTTTGAGAAAGGGTCTCACTCCTATAGCCCAGGTTGGAGTGCACTGATACAATCACAGCTCACTGCAGCCTCGACTTCCCAGGCTCAGGTGATCCTCCCACCTCAGCCTCCTGAGTAGCTGGTACTACAGGTGTGCACCACTATGCCCAGCTAATTTTTTGTATTTTTAGCAGGGAGAGGGTTTCGCCATGTTGCCAAGGCTGATCTCAAACTCCTGGGCTGAAACAATCGGCCTCCCAAAGTGTTGGGATTACAGGGTGAGCCACCGCGCCCAGCCTATCTTAATTTAAAAATACCTTTTTGCTAAAAATGTTAATGATCCTCTGAGCCTTCAGAGAGTTGTAATCATTCTCCTGGTGGAGAGTCTTGTGTTAATAGCTGCTGACAAATCAGGGTGATGGTTGCTAAAGTCTGGGGTGGCTGTGGCAATTTATTAAAATAAGACAACAATGAAGTTGGTCATATCAATTGACTCTTTCTTTCATGAAAGATTTCTCTGTAGCATGAGATGCTGTTTGATAGCATTTTACGCATGGTAGAACTTCCTTCAAAATTGGAGTCAATCCTCTCACAGGCTGCCACTGCTTTATCAACTAAGCTTACATAATATTCTGAATACTTTGTTGCCATTTCAAGAGAATCTTCACCAGGAGTAGATTCTATCTCAAAAAAACGATTTATTTGCTCATTCATAGGAAGCAACTCCTCATCCTTTCAAATTCTATCATGAGATTGCAACAATTCAGTTACTTCTTCAGGCTCCACTTCTAATTCTAGTTCTCTTGCTATTTCCACCACGTCTGCAGTTACTTCCTCTACTGAAGTCTTGAACCCCTCAAAGTCATCCATGAAGGATGAAATCAACTTCTTCCAAACTCCCATTAGTGTTGATATTTAACCTCTTCCCACGAATTGCAAATGTTCTTGATGGCATCCAGAATGGTGAATCCCTTCCAGAAGGTTTTCAGTTTACTTTGCCCACATTCATCTGAGGAATCACCATCTAGAGCAGCTATACCCTTACAAAATGTATTTCTTAAACAATAAGACCTGAAAGTTGAAATTACTCTTTGATCCGTGGGCTGCAGAATGGATGGTGTTATGCATGAAAACAAATTAATCTCCTTATACATCTTCCTCAGAGTTCTTGGGTAACTAGGTGCACTGTCAATTAGCAGTGATATTTTGAAATGAATCTTTTTTTGAGCAGTCGGTCTCAATAGTGGGCTTAAAATATTCAGTAAACCACGCTGTAAACAGATGTGCTATCATCCAGGCTTTGTTTTTCCATTTATAGAGCACAGGAAGAATAAATTCAGCATAATCCTTAAGGACCCTAGGATTTTCAGAATGGCCAATGAGCACTGGCTTCAACTTAAAGTCACCAGCTATACTAGCTCCTAACAGGAGAGTTAGCCTGTCCTTTGAAGCTTTGAAGCCAGGCATTGACTTCTCTTCTTTAGCTCTGAAAATCCTAGGTGGCATCTTCTTCCAATAGAAGGCTGTTTCTTCTACACTGAAAATCTGTTGTTAGTGTAGCCACCTACATCAATGATCTTAGCTAGATCTTCTGGGTAACTTGCTGCAGCTCCTACATCAGCACTTGCTGCATCACCTTGTACTTTTATGTTATGGAGATGGCTTTTTTCCTTAAACCCCTTGAACCAACCTCTGCTAGCTTCCAACTTTTCTTCTGCAGCTTTCTCACCTCTCTCAACCTTCATAGAATTGAAGGGAGTTAGGGCTTTGCTCTGAATTAGGTGTTTTGGCTTAAGGCAATGTTGTAGCTGGTTGGACAAGACCACTCAAACCTTCTCCATATCTGTTAAGGAAACCAAAATATTTTACCCCAAAATATATTTCTTTGACATAGTTCAAGATGGCTATTCAAAAGGGCTGGAAAATACAAAAATAGCTAAAAATCTGCCTTTTGTGGGGTACATTTGCATTTGAAGAGAAAATCTACATTGATACAGCCAGGCTTTCTCTAAGGGCCTTCTCTTGCTGGATCTAGGAAACATTAACTGAGACTTTGACACATTTAAAGGTCTGAAAGAAACATTTACCTCTAAAATTTCATTTCATCTATATAACAAGACCATCTTTGCTACACAGGCCTTCTCTTCCCTCCCTCCCATAACCTGTCTTACCAGCGTAACCTGATTTCCTGCCATAACCTGGTTTTGGCCATCCTCTGAGCCTTCATTTTTTCTATAATCTCAGGATGGTATATAAGCTTCTCTACCCCATCGGGGTAAGGAGTAATCACTCTGTGATTTTCCCCGTGTGCAGTAATAAATCTGGATGCCTTTTCTCATTAATCTGCCTTTTGTCAGTTGCCTTTTCAGCAAAACTTCAGGGGGCAAAGGGGAAGTTTTCCCTTGACCCCTACATTGGCAATAAGGCTGCTTTGTTTTCTTATCATTTGTTAGCTCACTGTGTGTAATTTCCTTCAAGAACTTTTCCTTTGCATTTACAACTTGGCTAACTGGCCCAGGAGGCCTAATTCAAATTTCTTTTTCTTATTTTTTTTGAGACGGAGTATCGCTCTTGTTGCAGGCTGGAGTGCAATGGCGCTACCTCGGCTCAGTGCAACCTCCACTTCCTGGGTTCAAGCGATTCTCCTGCCTCAAGCTCCCAAGTAGCTGGGATTACAGGCATGCACCACCATGCCCGGCTAATTTTGTATTTTTAGTAGAGATGGGGTTCCTCCATGTTGGTCAGGCTGGTCTCGGACTCCTGACTTCAAGTGATCCGCCCACCCTGGCCTCCCAAAGTGCTGGGATTACAAGTGTGAGCCACTGCACCTGGGTCCAATTTCAGCTTTCTACATGCCTTCCTCACTAAGCTCAATCATTTTGATTTAAAGTGAGAGATGTGTGAGTCTTCCTTTCACCTGAACACTTAGAGGCCATTGCAGGGTTATTAATTGGCCTAATTCAAATATTGTTGGATCTCAGGAAATAGGGAGGCCCAAGGAGAGGGAGAGAGATGCGGGAATGGCCAGTGAGTGGAGAAGGCAGAACACACACAACATTTATCAATTAAGTCTGCCATCATATGGGTGCAATTCGTGGTGTCCCAAAACAATTACAATAGTAACATCAAAGATCACTAACCGTAGATCACCATAACAGGTCATAATAATAATGAAGAAATCTAAAATATCATAAGAATCACCAAAATGTGACACAGAGACACAAAATGAGCACACGCTGCTGGGAAAATGGCACTCACAGACTTTCTCAGTGCAGGGTTGACACAAACCTTCAATTTGTTAAAAAAAAAAAAGAAAAGAAAAGCAAAATCTGTGAAGCACGATAAAGTGAAGCATAGTAAAATGAGGTATGCCTGTAATCACTTAAGAAACTCTTCAGGTTTTTTTAGTGCTAGTCATGTGTATGCGAATATCATTCCCAAAGGGTAGAAATATCTGAGCTGACATAACCATAACCAAAGGTTGCTATTCTTTCAGTCACTGAGTAAAGATAAAATCCCAAACCTATATGATTATGACAGAGCAAGACTCCATCTCAAAAAATCATAAATAAAAATTTTTAAAAAATAAAAATAAATAAATGAAAAAGCTGCTTTGCTTGCCATTGACCTTTTGTGTTCAGATAGAGAAGGTCTTCAGAGGCCACAAACAGGGGACTTAAAAGGTCTTTCCTATCTTGGAACATTTTGTAACAAAAATGAAGACCAAAAGAAGCCATATCTTTTGACAGGGTCATGAGGCTGGATGAGATCTTACAGTTATTTTGAGTCTGGCCTCTCTTTTTTTTTTCTTTCAGACAGAGTCTCGCTCTGTCACCCAGTCTAGAGTACACTGGCAGCTTGGCTCACTGCAACCGCTGCCTCCTGGGTTCAAGCAACTCTCGTGCTTTAGCCTCCTGAGTAGCTGGGATTACAGGTGCCCGCCACCATGTCCAGCTAATATCTGTATTTTTAGTAGAGACGGGGTTTCACCATGTTGGCCAGGCTGTTCTCGAACTCCCGACCTCAGGTGATCTGCTGGCCTCGGCCTCCCAAAGTACTGGGATTACAGGCGTGAGCCACCGCGCCCAGCCTGGCCTCTCCTTTTATAATAAAGAAACTGAGGCCCAGAGGGAGGGCATGCCTTGTCTAATCCCAGGCTTTTTAGAGTCTCCTGGGTCTGACAGTGCTCTCTCTTCCTGTGAACATGCTGAAAGGGACATGCTGGGAGATTTGAGAAGTCAAATTAGTAGTATATGACTTTTTTCATTTCCACCCTACTGCTCTTATCTTGGATGAGGGATGGTTTTACCATTCAATTTCATGTATTTTTCTTTGTGGGAAATGAACCACAGCCAGCAACTTAATAAAATCCCACCCCACCCCATCACCGACAGTAATTAGAAGCTGTGAAGGAATCTGAGGAGTTAGTCTATTTTCCCTTTAGGCATGATAGACCCTACCTGATCCTATCAGATGAACACATTTTTTTCAATCTTAAAAATATCCACTGAAAAAATATCTTTCCTCTGGAAACTCTGCCACTATCTGTGCTGATTTTTGTTTACTAAGAGAGTATCATTTACTAAGAGAGTATCATTGACCCCCTCACTAGCCACAGAGCATGAACTCTGAGTTCTTGTTCCAGCATTTGGTTGGGTCCATTCTTTATGAAGATACTTATGTTCCTTGCGCATTTTCAAGATGGGCAGGGCTGCAAGCTCTGATTATGGTTTTGTGCATAGCTACAGCTATGATTTTGTTTCTCTACTCATGTTGTCAGACTAAATTTCTTATCTGGTCCCATTTAGCTGAGGATGCCAGCCACTGCAGAATCTGAGGACTCAAGAGATCATTGAGACCAGACCTCAAACAGAAAGACATTTCTTTGCACCTTTCTAAAAACATCTCCTGAGGCAAAGCCTGCAAACACTACCTTAGAAATACATTCTTCCACCTAATCCCAGTTTTTCTAAGTCCTTTGCAAAGGAATTAAAAAGAGTTATTTTTCTTCTCAGTTTAAATAGCTCAAGAAAGTCCTTCCAAAGGTTTTGTGACTTACTTTGATATGGGGGTGTTTTGTACATGTTGTCCCCCAAACACGGGAACAGCGTTCCTCTTTTCTGTGTTCATAGAATTCAGCGTCTCGTAAGATAGCTACCCTCCGTCCACCATGTGCCAGGACAAACTTGCTGCACCCTTCCAGCCGTGTCTTATCCTCTGCAGAGACGGGCAGTACAATGGGGATGCTCATGTTGATCACGCCATCTGTGGAAAGAGCCATGTGATGCACGAAAACTAGATATAAGGTGTGCCATCCTTGAAGCATGAATCAAATGTGCACAATGCCCCTTCCAAACATTTCCTTCAAGAAGCATTAAGACCCAAATCCAAGTAGTTGTGTTAGCTGCACCAGTTTCTCTAGATTCTATAATGACAAGTCCTTGAAGGGCTTCCCAAAGCAAGTGGAGCATATGTGAAAAGTGGGTTGAGTTTTAAATCATGGAGGTGGCCTCCATAAGTGATCTAACTTTGGAAACGCCTCTTTGTGGGTTCCCTTTTCATATCTAAGTCCTGACCTCAATGCAGTAGGGAGTTTAAAATTTTCCAAAACCCAATTAAATAAAATTAAGCTAGCAAAACAAACCAAAACAAAACTCTCTAGTCTTTCTTGGAAATGAAACTTGTAAGAACGTTAAGCAAGTCTCTTATTTCATTACCTGTTTAGGCTCTATCTGCATACCAATACACTGAATTGAAAACAAAGAAAAAAATCAGATAATTGATATGAATCTATGGGAATGAGAATATGCATTTTTTGTATAATAAGTTACTTATGACAGCTGTGTGTTTGTCTTTTTTAATACTAATCAGCCACAATCTGGGTAATACCTCATTCACCTTTTTCTTTAATTTTAAATTTTTAACTTTCTTGGGTACATAGTGTATATGCTTATGGGGTGCATAAGATATTTTGATACAGGAATACAATGCATAATAATCACATCAGGGTAAATGAGGTACCCATCACCTCAAGCATTTATCCTTTGTGTTACAAAAATCCAATTATCCTCTTAGTTATTTTTAAATGCACTGTTAATTTATTTTATTTTACTTTATTTTTAGACAGAGTCTTGCTCTGCCGCCAGGCTGGAGTTCACTGGCACGATCTTGGCTCACTGCAACCTCTGCCTCCCAGGTTCAAGCTATTGTCCTGCCTCAGCCTCCGGAGTAGCTGGGATTACAGGCATGTGCCACCACTCCCAGCTAATTTTTGTATTTTTAGTAGAGACGGGGTTTCACCATGTTGGCCAGGATGGTCTCGATCTCTTGACCTCATGATCTGCCAACCTCAGCCTCCCAAAATGCTGGGATAAGAGGCGTAAGCCACCGTGCCCAGCCGTTAAATTATTATTGACTATAGTCATCCTGTTGTGCTATCAAATACTAGATCTTATTCATTCTATTTTCTGTACCCATCTCATGCACTTGTAAAAAATGTATTTTCAGCCAGGTGCAGTGGCTTACACCTATAATCCCAGCATTTTGGGAGGCCAAGATGGGAGGATTGCTTCAGGCCAAGAGTTTGTGACCAGCCTGGGTAACACAGCAAGACCTCATCTCTACCAAAAAATATGTGTGTGTGTGTGTGTGTGTGTGTGTGTGTATACACACATATTTTTTTTAAATTAGCTGGACATGTTGGCATGCACTTGTAGTCCCAGCGACTCAGGAGGCTGAGGCAAGAGGGTCACCTGAGCCCAGGAGTTTGAGGCTGCAATGAGCCCTGATCACTCCACTGTACTCCAGCCTGGGTGATAGAGCAAGATCCTGTCTCAAAAAACAAAACAAAACCCACTAATCTATGGGATCCCAAACGAGCAGTCCTCTTGATGTTATTCATGGTGGTTTCAGCATAAAATCACCTTTTCTTCCCCCTCCTGCTCCCTCTTTCCTAAATATTTTTTAGGATACTGGTAATCTCACTTATCTGGGAATCACAGGTCTTGCTAACGCAACCACAGTTGAGAATCATCTGTCCAAAACCACAGAGGAGTGAAAAATGACATCAAGTCATTAACGCACATGTACTTTCTCTGGAGTGTGAGCTCCTCTCACCATTATGCTGAGTCTCTTGCTTTAAGAGGAATTTAAATAAACAGGGTGTTCTGATTTCTCAGTATACAGCACAGCAAATTAGAAGGCATCGAATGTGGTATTCAGAGAAGCTACATCTTCAGCAGCAAGAAATGTCCAATGACAGCTGGACCACAAAGGAAGAGACAGGAAAACTACTGAAAAAATACACATAGAAACTGTGATGGTTGATGTTATATGTCAACTTAGCTAGGCCACAGTACTCAGATATTTAGTCAAACATTATTCTAGATGTTTCTGTAGAGGTACTTTTTAGATGGGATTAACATTTAAATCAGTAGACTTTGAGTAAAGTAGAGTACCCTCCAGAATGTGAGTGGGCCTCATCCAATCAGTCAAAGGCCTAATTAGACAAAAGACTCTTCTCCCCAGAAAAGGAGAGAATTATGCCAGCAGACCGCCTGTGGACTTGAACCGCAGGTCTTCTCGGGGTCCCCAGCCTCCCAGTTTTCGGACTTGCCAGATTCCACAATCACACGAACCAATTCCTTAAAATAAATCTCTCTCTTTCTATGTGTGTATGTGTGTGTGTGTGTGTGTGTATAGACAGAGATTTATTGTATACCTATATATAATACATAGATATCCATATGTAACATACAGATATATTGTTATCTATTCAGATATATATCAGAAATATTATATAATTCAGATATAATATCTATATGTTATATATAGATATCAATGTATAATACATAGAGAGATAAGGCTCCATAATAATAAATAATTTATTAAAATAATGTATATATATAATTAATATATGTATAAATTAATATATGTACATGCATATATATAAATTTATTTAAATATGTTACATATATTTTATATCTATGTCTATATAGAGAGATGCATATCTGTATATAGATAGACACACAGATATGCATCCTGTTTGTTCTGTTTCTCTGGAGAACCCTGACTATACAAGGTTCTAACACTGAAACTGAAATACAGAGTTATGGGGGTTCTTTAGTGTGGGAGCCAACAATCCCACAGGTCTCCCCATCTTCAGGGCACCATTACATTAGTGCCCAGTTTAATAACTGGTAAAACTAATAATGACAGAGTCATTTTTAAAAGTTCCTTTATATTGAACATATTCTCTTTTTTTTTGAGTGAATACTTTTTTTTTTTTAGTAAGACTATTTTGAAATGTTTCTAAATAAGATAGTTAATGTGTAGTTGGTTTTCAGTCTGGGGCTTAAAGGGATAAAATTTGGCTTTCTAAAAACATCTCATTTCTCTATGATTCTAGATAATGTAAAAAAATGTACAAAACGGTGTTCCTCCTACAATGATGCCCTCACAAATAGGCTATTCTCTCAATTATACTCACAGATGAGAAAATGAGGGCTCATGGTTAAGCGTATAACACAAAATAATATTAGGGACAATTTTGTGAGAGTTCTCAAGTTCAAGATTCAGAAGAGAATGAAAGGAAGGTGAATAAAGAAAACATTTAACTCCAGAGGAAGCAAATGCAGTTATTTATGGACCTGAGGGAATGTGCCATGATTAATGAAGCCATTTAAACCTAACTTTTCAATGCAACATTTAGAAGGCCTCTGACAGAGTTAAAGATTAGAGTTCTATTCCTTCGGGGCATAAGACTCCCCCTAGTAGTTATGAAACTAAACTTTCCAGGCATATCACTTTGCACCTTTTAAACACTCTCCAAAGGTTACTAGAACCTAAAGAATGTCACCGGAAATAGACAGCAACTGCCGGCAATAAACAAATCCGGTCTATCATAAAATCCTGCAATATACTTTGAGACCCTTTATAAACCACAAACTAGATACTGTGTACATACAGAAAGTAATGGTGTGTCATTCAAATAACTCTTTGTTTCAACGTTCTCGGGCAATTAGAGCAGCTAAGTCCTTTGCAGAGAACACTAAATTCAAAGGCAGCAGTTCTCCCTTTTACTATGTGTGTCATTCAACTTTTCTAAACTCAGTTTCCTCACTGGAAAAATGGGCTAATAAATGACATGTATCTCCATGGGTTGCTGCAGGGGGCAAACTGTAAAGCACTATGTTAATGGAGGTTGCTGATGGAAGATGATTAAATCCACTGCATAGTCTAGTTGAGGAAAAGGGAGAGAGGCTAACAAAGAATAACCCCTTCAGAAATGCTGTCGTTGTCACTAGAAATCATGCTTTCTGTGGATTGCTTACTGACCACATTGCTGAAAGGAAGACCATGATATTTGCCTCTGCTTATAAAGAATGACTTGGCCGAAATAAAGCAAAATGCAAAGCAAAATGTGGAGCAGGGTGCTGAAAGAACCTAGCGCTGCCTGCAACACGTCTGTAACGTTGCCTTCCATCAAGTATTCTGACTTGAAATCCAAGGGATGTTTCACTGTTGCAGCCACCTCCTCTTGTCCACTAGATTCCTGACCAATTTAGCCTCTAATCTACCTTCATCTTGGCCTTGAGTGAAAATCTGAAATGACTAAATAACACTCTGGCAGGTTGTCTCAATAAGGAAGTGAATCTGTGGGATGTTATAGAAAGGAGTTCTGCCAAGTAATAATGCCAACTGATCTTATAAGCCTGTAGCTACAACACTACATGTGTATACACAGATTTACTGTAGTTTCCCTATCATCTTTATCAACCTTTCTAATATATAAACGTATCCAACTATTACTAAGATGTAATACTTGAACTGTGCTGAAACATCACCCATGACTTTCAACCCTGACTTGAGTTTTCAGCCTTTTCCTTCATGTGCTTCATTTGGCTCTGGTGGGCACTGCCTTGATTATTTTATTGTGGTATATCTTATTTTGAAAAAGAATATTGTGGTTCTTTAACCACAGTAAGTCCAAGAGATAGCTTATTGTTCAATGGAATGATTTTTCTTTTGCTTTCAATAATTTTCAAGCCTTCTGTGTTAGCCTTATAGATCTGCTTCATGGTTGTTTGGGACTGTTTCTGTGCAAAACCTAAATTACTTTTTATTGCTTAACTGGGCTTTTTAAAGGAAAAACAACAATGATGAAAGCAACACCAAAGATAGATGACATATTCAGAATTCTACCTTTTCATTCTTGTACAATGCAGAAGTTTACAGTCACAGCAAATGTATATTTACTCCCAGTTCCATAACAAGCAACCATAATGGCTTGAAATTAAGTTCATGCATAATCATACATTGCAAACAAATGAAGTACAATCATACACAATCCAACCAGGTACATTCAGTTTAAATCGATTTATTCTTCATCAACTTAAAATCTTTTATAAACACTGTAGGAAAAAAAATTTCCAGCTTTGTGAAACTAAATGAGGACCAACAGTCATTGGAAGAGGATCATAAATGTAAAAGACTCAGGAACAAAATGTACAATGATAATTTAGAAACAAGTTTACTTTTGTCAGCCAAATGCTACATCATACACAATAGCTACATCTGGTTGGGAAATTTCCTGTTGTTTGGACTCCAGTCTAAAGAAAAATACAGTGTTATTCTACTATAGCTGGTTGGATCATGAACTAATAGCGATTCCAACTGGTTAATGTAGATTTTCTTTTAGTTATGTTCTTAACCATTTCCAGTTAATTTAACATATATAATTATAATAATTTAGCTACTTGGAAAGTTAAAGTACATACCAGGAAGGGCCATGCCTAGGGAAATATAAACACAATTAAGAAACATTTTCAGCTCTCCACCAAACGAATCTTACAGCAACAATGTCAAAGAACAAATTCCTATTATGACACTTCACATATACAACATACAAATATACTAGCTTTGTCATGCTATTTTTAAAAATAGAGAGTATATAATAGCAAAAAGCTGGTGAAATCAGAACTTGTATGGAATGTTGTTCAATACAATCCAAAAGCATTGTTCAGATGTTTATCTGGTTTTCTAATTTTTTATTTATTTATTTTTCCATCCACTGGGAAGAGATATCTGTTTTAAAATAATTATAACATATGTTAATGTCCCCTCCAGCTTCACCAAGAAGTTTTCTCTTGCAAACATGTGATCTCACAACCACTGTAGAATAGTTTCCAAACTAGGCTTTGGGAGCAAGTATAGAAGCAAACTGCCCTAGAACATCCTAGAATCTCACATGGTTAGAGGACATGAAAATATGCTCAGCAGAACAAGCACCAACATTAGATCCAGGACAACCTGGATTTAAGTCTAGGCTTCAAATAAGTTATTTAACCTTTCTAATACATATTTTCTCAAGTGGACAAAATATCTTCACAGTGGTATTATCCTGATTAAATGTAATAATCTATGTCAAACTCCAGTGTCAGAACACAATTGGTGCTCAATAAGTGCTGGTGATATATGCAGAGTACTCTCACACCCTCCCTTGGAAAGTCAGAGCTGCGGAAGAATAGCCATTAAATGATGGAGTCTCACAAGGCTCCCCTGTCTTGATCCTACTTGGATGCCATCAGTCAACACAAGCTTGAGGTTGCATTTTTAAATTTAAATGTGACATTTATGATCAAAGGGTCTGTGACAACCCTGGAACTATACTTCTAGTGAGAAATAAAGTGATATGATACACTGATATAAAAGTAGATTCTTGAGTAATAATATGGAGTGACTCATACTACACAATTATCATATACTCTAACAAGTGATTTGGTTTTTGTTTTGGGGTTTTTTTTTGGCTTTTGGACTGAGTAGACAGAACTATTTTATTTTTAAATTTAGGGGAAAATATAAACCTTTGAGAAAATTAAAACCAACAAAATATTTTTAGGAGACATGGTCAGAATAAAAACAATGTTGCTTTCAGATTGTAGGTAATCAAGAAATTTGCAATGGTTTGAAGGAAGACAAAAGTGGGCACATGTCTGTGGCTGTGGAGATCATTTCAAATTTTCAATGGCAGTGACTCAAACCTTCATGAATTGGTTACAATTAAATGATATCTATATAAATGATATCTTGCCCAACATTCTGACATAGAAATAAATCACTTTTTACAATTTAACTCTGTCTCCTCAGTCCAAACGCCATCAGGTGAGGCACTGTCAGGAGCCTCTGTTGCTGCGTTTCAAATGGCTTCCTCCTGATACCCTCCAGGCTGCTCTCCAGGTGAAAGGGAGCCCAAGCCCCTACTCCCTTCTACTGGGGGAGTGAGGCAGTTCCATTTTGTTGTGTAGATTGCCTCTGATTTTTGAAATGAAATAAAGAATTATCTGGTTTAAAAAAGAAAGTTTCGGCTGCGTGCAGCGGCTCATGGCTCTAATCCTAGCACTTTAGGAGGCTGAGGCAGGTGGATCACTTGAGGTCAGGAGTTCAAGACCAGCCTGGCCAATATGGTGAAACCCCATCTCTACTAAAAATACAAAAATTTCCTGGGCTTCGTGGCAAGCGCCTGTAGTCTCAGCTACTTGGTAGGCTGAGGCAGAAGAATTGCTTGAACCCAGGAGGCAGAGGTTGCAGTGAGCAGAGATCGCGCCACTGCACTCCAGCCTGGGCAACAGAGCGAGACTCTGTCTCAAAAAATAAAATAAAATAAGAAAAAGAAAATAAAAAAGAAAGTTTCACAACCACTGATGGGGGGCGGGAAGGACTTACTGGACTAGGTCTCAGAAAATGACTGTACTGTATTTCTCAGCAAGCTCACCTGCCTTCATTACCATTCTATCTCCAGACGCTAGAAAAACCCTGGCACATGGGGGGCACTCAGTGTATATCTGTTGGCTAGCTGACGAACATCGTATCTGTGCTACTTCCAAATTGATGTGACTAGGGATAAAGTCACTTAGTCTCTTCAAGACTCCAGGTTCTTTTATTTATGTATTTATTTTTAGAGACAAAGTTTCCCTATGTTGCCCAGGTGGGACTCTAGCTCCTGGGCTCAAGTGATCCTCCCGCCTTAGGCTCTGAGTAGCTGGGACTACGGTCATGAGCCACCATGCCTGACAAATTCTTTTAACTGTATGCAGAGTGGTTTGTTCATAATAGCTAATATGTATGAAATACTGACTATTGAATCAGGCATTCTTTTAAACTTTCAACATCCAATGAGGTAGGTAGGTACAGTTATTAACATCCCCATTATACAGATGAAGGAACAAAGCCCAGAGAGTTTAAGTAATTTGGCCCAGGTTCATAGCTAATCACTGACATACAAACCTAGACAGTGTGACTTCGCAGCTCACACTCTCATCCACTGTGATATTCTGCCTCTACTTAGACCCAAAGTAACTTAACATACGGCGAGTGGTAGGGGTGGGCAGCACATCATATCCCTGATTATCTATTTTTATTATCAATTTACACAGGCATTTAGGATGCTTCTGTGGGCTGTGCAGAGCTCAGAATCCTGATCATAACTGGGGTTGTATAAGTATGTCCAGTGGACTCTGTTTGCAGAGGTAGATGGTGGAACCAGCAGATAATTCCCACAGGGAAAAGAAGAATCTTACAGAAAGTTTCAGACACAGGTCCTGCAGCTTGGAAGGGGAAAGGATATGGAAATAGCAAAACATCTGATCTTGAACCCTCCTGACAGAGCCACACTGGAGCCACATGAGGATAAAGGGAT